>NC_000021.9:5443558-5449012 GCF_000001405.40 Homo sapiens
GATCTAGTCAGCTTAATCCCTCGGATGCAAAGCTTGTTCAACATATGCAAATCAATAAATGTATTCCATCACATAAACAGAACTAATGACAAAAACCACATGATTATCTCAATAGATGCAAAAAAGGCCTTCAGCAAAATTCAACACCTCTTCATGGTAAAAACTCTCAATGAATTATGTATTGATGGAACTTATCTCAACATATTAAGAGCTATTTATGACAAACGCACAGCCAATATACTGAATGGGAAAAAACTTGAAACATTCCTTTTGAAAATCTGCACAAAACAAGAATACCCTCTCTCATCACTCCTATTCAATATAGTATTGGAAGTTCTGGCCAGGGCAATCAGTCAAGAGAAAGAAACAAAGCGTAATCAAATAGGAAGAGGAACTCAAGTTGTCTCTGTTTGCAGCTGACATGATTGTATATTTAGAAAACCCCATCGTCTCAGCCCAAAATCTCCTTAAACCAATATGCAACTTCAAAAAAGTCTCAGTATACAAAATCAGTGTTCAAAAATCACAAGAATTCCTATACACAATAATAGACAAACAGAGAGCCAAATCATGCATGAACTCTCATTCACAATTGTTACAAAGAGAATAAAATACCTAGGAATCCAACTTAAAAGGGATGGGAAGGACTTCTTCAAGGAGATCTACAAACCACTGCTCAAGGAAATAAGAGAGGACACAAACAAATGAAAAACAATCCGTGCTCATGGATAGGAAGAATCAATATTGTGAAAATGGCCATACTGCCCAAAGTAATTTATAAATTCAGTGTTATCCCCATCAAGCTCCCATTGACTTTCTTTACATAATTAGAAAAAAAACTACTTTAAATTTCATATGGAATCAAAAAAGATCCTGCATAGACAAGACAATCCTAAGCAAAAAGAACAAAAGTGGAGGCATCACACTAGCTATCTTCAAACTATACTAAAAGGCCACAGTAACCAAGACAGTATGGTACTGGTACCAAAACAGATATATTGACAAATGGAACAGAACAGAGGCCCCAGAAATAACATCAAACATCTACAACCATCTGATCTTTGATGAACCTGACAAAAACAAGTAATGGGGAAAGGATTCCTTATTTAATAAATGGTGTTGGGAAAACTAGATAGCCATATGCAAAAAAATGAAACTGGACGTCTTCCTTACTAGTTATACAAAAATTAACTGAAGATGGATTAAAGACTTAAATGTAAGACTTAAAACCATAAAAACCCCCCAAAAAACAAAGGCATTACCATTCAGGACATAGGCGTGGGCAAAGACTTCATGACTAAAACAGCAAAAACAATGGCAACAAAAGCCAAAATTGACAAACGAGATGTAATTAAAGTAAAGAGCTTCTTCACAACAAAAGAAACTATCATCAGAGTGAACAGGCAACCCACAGAAAGGAGAAAATTTATGCAATCTATCCATCTGACAATGGGCTAATATGCAGAATCTACAAAAAACTTAAGCAAATTTACAAGAAAAAAACAAACAACCATATCAAAAATGGGCAAAGGACATGAACAGACACTTCTGAAAAGAAGACATTTATGCAGCCAACAAACATATGAAAAAAAAACTCATCATCACTGGTCATTAGATAAATGCAAATCAAAAACACAGTGAGAAACCATCTCACTCCAGTTAGAATGGTGATCATTGGAAAAATCAGGAAACAACAGATGCTGGAGAGGATGTGGAGAAATAGGAACACTTTTACACTGTTGGTGAGAGTGTAAATTAGTTCAACCATTGTGGAAGACAGTATGGCAATTCCTCAAGGATCTACAATGAGAAATACCATTTGATCCAGCAATCCCATTACTGGGTATATAACCAAATGATTATAAATTATTCTACTACTTAGACACATGCAAACATATGTTTATTATGGCACTGTGCACAAGAGCAAAAACTTTGAACCAAACCAAATGCCCATCAGTGGTAGAATGAATAAAGAAAATGTGGCATGTATACATCATGGAATACAATGCAGTCATAAAAAGGATGAGTTCATGTCCTTTGCAGGGACATGGATGAAGCTGGAAACCACCATTCTCAGCAAACTAACACAAGAGTAGAAAAGCAAACATCACATGTTCTCTCTCATAGTTGGGAGTTAAACAAAGAGAACACAGGGACACAGGAAGGGGAACACCACACACTGGAGCCTGTCAGGAAGTGGGGGACTATGGGAGGGATAGCATTAGAAGATATATTCCTGGCCTAGGCCACTATTGCGATTTTCTAAATTTTGTTTCAAAAACATGATGTTTCAAAAATTGTTATTGATATGTAATTATACAAATATATAGTTCAGAAAAAAGAATCAACATTAATTATGCTTTTTCCAAAATACTTTATGGTTTTGAGCTCTTCTAGCAGTGACATTTTTGCTGTAGGTAGTTGCTCTATATCTGGTATATTCATCATAGCATCCTTTGTACCCTTTACACTTATCCTTCAATTTCCCACTCTCCTTAAGTGTAAATTTTCAAGGCCAGAGCTCCCATATCTTCCCAATATTACTTTTTGAAAAGAAGCTCCTATGTACTGTTTTGTCTGGGTCTTGTTGGATATAATGCTAAAAGAGCTGGAAAATAATAATTTTTTAAAAAATTCGGTGATGAAATTAAGGTAAATATATTTTATAAATCTAATGAACAAAATGAGGCCAGCTGAGAACACAATGATAGTTGAAGAAGAACCTGAGATCCTGTTTCTCTCAATGGATGTATGAACTTAACTGCAATTGGGTGAGCAAAGCCAGTTGAGTTTGTAGCACCCCTCATGAGAAAAAAGCCAACCATAACCACATTTAGAAGAAAGAAAATTTGGTTACATTTCTGCACTACAGAACAGTGCAGTTAGATAAAATTCTGTCCATTCCATGATTCTCCCTCGGGAAAGAAAACAGAGTGAAACGTGTATGCAAACTTCTGACTTATTGATTTATACCTTTAACATTTAGTGTTGACCAGAATAGAGATAGAGTTTAAATGACAGCTTGGGTCGACTGAGAATAAAGATAAATATTTCTTACAACAAAGAGACTGTAGTGCCTGCAACAGTGACAAAGAGAAGAGACTAAAGGCTCCTAAGAGGAAAGAGAGGTAAACCTTATTAACAAGAAAATACATACAGTACAAAGAAGACACATTTTGACAACAGATTGGAGAAGCTCCCGGAATGACTAGTGTGGCTGAATATTGTCAATTTTCCCATGTACAAAGCTTTTTCATAAAGGATAAAATAGGTAGTGGTTTCTTAATTGACCAAAACCTTAACAAAACCACAGTACTTAAAAGCAACCAGGAAATATAGCCTAATGAAACGAGAAAAATATATATTCAAGTGACCCTAAAGAAGTGGAGATCTATGAATTATTTTTTAACTTAAAATCATTTTATTTTTCTTTATTTTTTCATTTTATACACAGGATCTTACTCTATCTCCTGGGACAGATTGCAGTGGTGCAATCACAGCTCACTGTAACCTCAAATTTCTGAAGTAAAGCAGTCATGCCTCCTATGTCTCCTGAGTAAATATGACCACAGTTGGGCACACTACCACACCTGTATAGTTTCTTTAAAAGAATCTGTACAAACAGAATGTTGTTATGTTGCCTCGGCTGGTCTCAAACTCCTGGTCTCAGGCAATCCTACTGCCTCAGTCTGAAAGTGCTGGCATGAGCCACCATACCTGGAATTGTTTCTCTTTTAAGAAAAAAGGACTTTAAATCATTAATAGTAAAATAAAACAAAGAAAGGCATTGCATAACGATAGAGAGTTCAATTCAACAAGAAGACTTAACTATCCTAAATATAGATGCACCCAACTTTGGGGAACATAGAGTTATACAACAAGTACTGCTAGACCTACAATAAGACTCAAGTAGCCACGCAATAATAGTAGGGAAACGCAACTCCCCAATAACAGTGTTTGTCAGATTATCTAGGCAGAAACTTAACAAAGAAATTCTGGAGTTTGATTTCGCACTTGATCAATTGAAACTAATAGACATTTATAGTATACACCACACATCATCTAAGGAACATAAATTCTTCTCATCGCTCACAGAATATACTCTAGGATTGACCACTTCCTAGCCATAAAGCAATTATCCATACATTTTTTAAAAATGAAAATTATGCCAACCATACTGTCAGGCCACAATGGAAAAAAGATAAATATCAATACCAACAAAATCTCACAAAATCACAGAATGGCATTGAAATTAAACAACTTGCTCCTGAATGAATTTTGGGTAAACAACAAAATTGAGGCAGAAACTTAAAAAAAATTTGAAATAAATGAAGAGACACAATATACTAAAATGTCTGGGTTGTAGGAAAAGCTCTGTTAAGAGGAAAGTTGAGAGTGCTAAATACCTGCATCAAGAAGTTAGAATGATCTCAAACTAACAATTTAACATCACACTTAGAGAAACTAGAAAAACAAAAACAAACTAACCCCAAAGCTGGCAGAATGGCAAAAATATTCACAACCTATAAACCTGACAAAATCTAATACTCAGAATCTATAAGAAACTTAAAGAATTCACAAGCAAAAAATTACCCCATGAAAAAGTGGGCAATAACAGACAATGTTCAAAAGAATACATACAAGTGGCCAAACAACATGAAAAAAGCTTATCACTAACCATCAAGGAAATGTAAATAAAAACCACAGTAAGACACCATCGTACACCAGTTAGAATGGCTTTTGTTAAAAAGTAAAATGATAGTAGATATTGGTGGGGTTTTAGAGGGAAAAAACCACTTATACACTGTTTATAGGAATATAAATTAGTTCAGCCACTGTGGAGAGCAGCTTGGAGATTTTCCAAATAACTGAGAGTTGAACTATGATTCAACGCAGAATTTCACCGCTGGGTGTATACCCAGAAGAGAATAAACTATTCTACCAAAACAGCACATGCACTTGTTGGTTCATCACTGCATTATTTATAACAGGAAAGACATGAATCAACCTACGTGACTATTAATGGTATTTTTTTTTTTTTGAGATGAAGTCTCACTCTGTTGCCCAGGCTGGAGTGCAGTGGCACTATCTCAGCTCACTACAACCTCCACCTCCCAGGTTCAAGCAATTCTCCTGCCTCAGCCACCCGAGTAGCTGGGACTACAGGCTCATGACAACACGTCCGGCTAACTTTTGTATTTTCAGTAGAGACGGGGGTTTCATTATGCTGTCCAGGATGGTCTCGATCTCCTGACCTCATGATCCACTCACCTTGGCCTCCCACAGTGCTGGGATTACAGGCATCAGCCACCGTGTCCAGCCTATTAATGCTAAATTGAATTTAAAAAGTGTCACATGTACAGCAATACTACTTAGCAAAAACAACAACAACAACAAAAAAACTTGTCCTTTGCAGCAACATTAATACAACTAAAGGTCATTCTACAATCAAAT
>NC_000021.9:5499012-5627596 GCF_000001405.40 Homo sapiens
GATCTCCTGACCTCGTGATCCACCCACCTTGGCCTCCCAAAGTGCTGGGATTACAGGCATGAGCCACCGTGCCGGGCTGAAAAATAACCCTTTAGATATCTACAGCTTTAAACTGTGTGCAGTCATGAAAAGCAGACATTAGAAGTCATTGGCATTTAATAAATTGCAGTAAAATTATACAGTAAATACATTACAATCATTAATAATAGGCTTTAATGAGAAGAATTTAATAAATAATCATTAAAAAGACAGCAGAATTTTATTCTGTTCTCAATATGTTGCTGCTCTTCTTATCAAATACTATAATAAAACTATATGACTATAATATAGATTTCAGGAGCTAAAAAAAGCCTTATATTTTCAAATAAAAGAACAATATAAATTTTGCAAAATACAATGAGCATTACTGAAGTATAAAGTAAATATTTGGAATTAAAATATATGGTCATTTAGATACAGACTAAAAAAGAAT
Organism: Homo sapiens; assembly: GCF_000001405.40. Taxonomy (NCBI): domain Eukaryota; kingdom Metazoa; phylum Chordata; class Mammalia; order Primates; family Hominidae; genus Homo; species Homo sapiens. The sequence continues at coordinate 5,499,485 of NC_000021.9, forward strand.
AGAAATCTTAATGATTCCTTTCTGCCTACAGTGAGCTTAAAATTACAACCAAAAATTTTAATAAATATGTAGCACCTACAAGAAATTTTATTAACAGCTTACATAATGTGTAAATTTGAGCAATTTATTTTAGAACTTTTGAATCTGAAAATCACCTGCTTGACATTCATTTGAGAAAGTGAAACATAAAGGAGAGTAACATAAGCAAGACGACAGAATGGGAGGTTCTGCATCCACATCCCCCACGACATAATGCAGCTGCCACAGCAAACATAAGTGCATTCATGAAAGCCTTGGAATCCAGTTCAGAGTTTGTGACACCCAGCTGGAGGCAAAGACCAAGGAAGACATCTTTAGAGGGTAAGCACTTGACCAAGTGGCAAGCTTGCCAATCATGGTCCTCGCTTCAAAACAGAATACTGCCACATCTTACTGTAGACTTGGCTATAACTCATTTGACCTTGGTCCTGACACTGCAACAGTCTGTGGAAAACACAAGAGAATTCATACTCACCTGAGACTTAGATGACAGGCCTGCAGAACTTGGTTCTCTCTATAGTCCCTGAATCAGGCAAAACACACCTTCTTTCCTTCTCCAGCCATGGTCTGGAAGAAATCTTCACATTGATATGATGAAATGCTAACTAACAATATGAAAAATACTAAAGTATAAATGTCACTAAAATGGTAAATACATACTGAATTTCAGAATACTATAAATTGTTATCATCTTAAACTAGACTATTAAAATACAAGATGTTTTACATAAGTCTCATGATAACCAGTAGGAAAAAAAAATAGTAAAGAAAAAGAGAAAGTAATTAAAGCATACACAAACAACAAAAATTACACATTGGATATGGTGTCTCCTGCTTATAATTCCAACACTTTGGGAGGCCAAGGTGGAAGAATCAAATCTCCTTGGGTGTTGTGGTACATGTCTGCAGTCCAAGCTACTTGGGTGGCTAAGGTGGGACGATTATTTGAGCCCAGGAGGTTAAGGCTACAGTGAGCTGTGATATGCCACTGCACTTCAGTCTGAGCAAGAAAGCATAACTTTGTCTCAACAAAAATGAACAATACCACAGGAAAGACAGAACCAGAAAAAAAAGAAGCAAACTTAAAATGGACAGAAAACTACAAATGTACAATAGTAACTGCTTACCTATCACTACCTTACAAATAAAAAGATTAAAGTATCTACTAAACAGATACTGCTGTACACTGAATGTCATCTCCAAAATTTAGGATAAAATTTAATAGCCAACATGTTAGAATTAACAGGTGGAACCTTTAAAAATTAATTAAGCTATAAGCACTCTGCCCTCATGAATGGATTAACGTTCTTATTATGGGAATGGGCTAATTATAACAAGAATGGATCTGTTATATATTAAAAAAAAAAAGCTCTCTCTCCCTCACATCTTTGTGTATGTTATTATCCAGCAACTAGACCTTCAACATATACCAGTATAATGTTGTTTTGGCTTCCCAGCCTCCAGAATCATGAGTCAAATAAAATTCTATTCTTTATTAATTACCAGTGTGTGATATTCTGTTATAGCAGCCAAAAGAGACTAAAGCAGACAGAGTGGATAAATTAATCTTTTAAACCTCATAATATGCTGCTTACAAGAGACTCAATTATGAATTAAGAGCATAGGCTAAAAGTGAAAGGATAGAAAATGATATTCCATGCAAATAATAACCAAAGGAGTGAAATGGTAATGCTTAAATTAGACAAAATAGACTTTCTAGCAATGTCTCTCACAAGAATGAAATGAGTTTACCATACAATAATAGAGGTTAATTTCTCAAGAGAATATAGCTTTATATATTTATGCACCCAAAAGGGAGGCTTCTAAATATAAAAAGCAAATATTGCCAGAACTGTAGGGAGAAGTAGAAAGAAACCCAATAATAGAAAACTTTAACGAAATGTATAATAAAGGACATATAGTTAACAGCATTGTAAATTGGCAAGGGAAAGCTGGTCTCATGTGTTGCGTTTGAGAATGCAGCAAAGAAAGTGGGAACTGATAATTTTACTGCAAGCCTGAGTTAGGATGAAAAACAGGGTGGTCGATTAGAGGTTCCACTTGCCATACATTAAAAAAACACAGGAGAAAACCAGTCCTCCTCTGGAGTGTTAAAATAATTAAAGATCAGAAAATTAGTCTAAAGTGGCTCTAGTGCCCTGTGTTCATAGGTAAAAAACAAAAAACAAACAAAAAAAAATCTAAAACCTAACTCAAATATATTTCCTATAAAACACTATCTTAGCCTGAAGCAAAATGCAGGTTTAACCCATGACAAACATGCAATTAACCTCTGAATATGTAACCAGGACATTTCCATCTGGATAGTTCAAATAAGGCTACCATATAACTGGAACCAATTCTTGAATTTGGGTTGCTTTCTCATGCATCTTATGAAAGCCTTTCCTTTATGCCCCTCTGGTGGACCAGAAATCATGGCTGGGTGCTTTCCATTTCACCAATCACTCTTTGTTCAGATAAACTGATGAACCTTTTAACATAGACTCCCGTTAATTTTTAACACGAGAGACTGTGGACCCCACGGGCCGCAGCTCCTCCCACGCAAACACCCACTCGCGGTTTTTCCCTGATGACCCATCTGGCCTCCCTGAACAATTTGGGAAATACTCATGGCTGTGGGCGCAGAGCAGGGCGCTGCCCAGGGACAGGACCGGATGGGCCGGACGGGACGTGGGGGTCCTCGCTGCTGGCCCAGCGGCCATCTTGCAGCCACAGGGGACTGAGGGCCAAGCTGCGGGAGACTCGGAGCTAACCGTGGGGAGGCCGGTCCTGCCGGTTTCACAGTCTGTTCTCCCCTCTCGGGATGGCGAACCCCGTATACTCACCATTTCCCAGCTTCCAGGATGTCCTGGCACCTTAACTATGCGTCCCCAAGGACCTACAGATCGCAGGGCAACAGGGGCTGTGACAGAGTAGCCCAGGGCTCTCAAGGTGCAGGAGGCGAAAGAGGAGACAGATCCCAAGCTCCTGTGCCAGCACCAGCGAGAGACACAGATCCCGCCAAATGCAGGAAGCCACGCCCTCCTTTCCTCTCCTCTGCCACCGCGCGCCTGATTGGGCGGTTCCCACATCAGTGTCAATGACTGGATAAAACTCCAGGACGCACCCACCCTCGCCTGACTCCTGCCCTTACCCCCACTCCCCCTCAGACTTAGTGCACTTTTGTTAGTTTGTTTTTAAGTTCTGGAATACATGTGCAGAACGTGCAGGTTTGTTACATAGTTTTACATGTGCCATGGTGGTTTGCTGCACCTATCAACCTGCCATCTAGGTTTTAAGCCCCATATGCATTAGGTATTTGTCCTAATTTTCTCCCTCCCCTTGACCTCAACCCCTTAACAGGCCTTAGTGTGTGATCTTTGGCTCCAGGTGTCCATGTGTTCTCATTTTTCAACTCCCACATATGAGTGAGAACATATGGTGTTTGCTTTCCTGTTCCCGTGTTAGTTTGCTGAGGTTAATGGTTCCCAGCTTCATCCACGTCCCTGCAAAGGACATGAACTCATTCTTTTTATGGCTGCATATTATTTCATGGTGTATATGTGCCACATTTTCTTTTTCCAATCTATCAATGATGGGCATTAGGGTTGGTTCCAAGTCTTTGCTATTGCAAACAGTGGTGCAATAGACATATGAGTGCATGTGTCTTTATGCTAGAATGATTTATATTCCTTTGGGTATATACCCAGTAATGAGATTGCTGGATCAAATGGTATTTCTGGTTCTAGATCCTTGAGGAATCACCACACTGTCTTCCATAATGGTTGAACTAATTTACACTCCCTCCAGCAGTGTAAAAGTGTTTCTATTCCTCCACAGCCTCACCAGCATCTGTTGTTTCCTAACTTTTTAATAACTGCCATTCAACATGGTGTGAGAAGGTATCCCATTGTGGTTTTGATTTGCATTTCTCTAGTCTCCAGTGATGATGAGCTTTTCTCTTTTTTGTGTTTGTTGACCACATAAAGGTCCCCTTCTTCTTCTTCTTCTTCTTCTTCTTCTTCTTCTTCTTCTTCTTCTTCTTCTTCTTCTTCTTCTTTTCTTCTTCTTCTTCTTCTTCTTCTTCTTCTTCTCCTTCTCCTTCTTCTTTTTCTATTTATTTTACTTATTATTATTATTTTTAAGATGGAGTCTTGCTCTGTCACCCAGGCTGGAGTGCAGTGGAAGGATCTCGGCTCACTGCAACATCTGCCACCCAGGTTCAAGTGATTCTCCTGCCTTAGCCTCCCCAGAAGCTGGGATTACAGGTCACCCGCCAACACATCCTACTAATTTTTTGTGTTTTTAGTAGAAATGCGGTGTCGCCATGCGGCCCAGGCTGGTCTTGAACACCTGACCTCATGATCCACCTGCCTCCACGGCTGAAAGTGCTGGGATTACAGACTTGATCAACCGCGCCCAGCCAAATATCTTCTTTTGAAAAGAGTCTGTTTATATTCTGTGCCCACTTTTTGATGGTTTTTTTTTGTGTGTGTGTGAATTTGTTTAAGTTCTTTGTAGATTCTGGATATTAGACCTCTGACACATGGATAGAGTGCAAAAATTTTCTTTCACTCTGTAGGTTGCCTGGTCACTCTGGTGATAGCTTCTTTTGCTGTGCAGAAGCTCGTTAGTTTAGTTAGATCTCATTTGTCAATTTTAGCTTTTGTTGTGATTGCTTTTGGTATTTTATTCATGAAGTCTTTGCTCATGCCTATGTCCTGAATGGTATTGCCTAGGTTTTCTTCTAGGGTTTTTATGGTTTGGTGTTTTACATTTAAGACTTTAATCCATCTTAAGATAATGTTTGCATAAGGTGTAAGGAAGGGGTACAATTTCTGTTTTCTGAATGTGGCTAGCCAGTTCTTTCAGCACCATTTGGTAAGTAGGAAATCTTTCCCCATTGCTTGTTTTTGTCAGGTTTGTCGGAGATCAGATGGTTGTAGATGTGTGATGTTATTTCTGAGGCCTCTGTTCTGTTCCATTTGTCTATATATCTGTTTTGGTATCAGTACTGTGCTGTTTTGGTTACTGTAGCCTTGTAGTATAGTTTGAAGTCGGGTAGCAGGATGCCTCAAGCTTTGTTGTTTTTGCTTAGGATTGTTTTGGGTTGACAGGCAAACAGGCTCCTATATTTGGGGTCACGTGCCCAGAGTATCACAGCTAATTCAGACGTGAGCTGAGACTTGAAATGCACGTGCTCTTTCCCTTACCTGGGTCTGTTGTATAATGCATCTTAGCAGCTATGTAACAGTACGAATTAGAATATTTAGACATCTTTTTAGCAACTTTTTAACCTGCATTTTTGTAACGCGGTAAAGACCTTCATCCCATCCCTGAGCCCCTCTCTCACAACACTGCACCCCACTGCTGACCACACTGTTGTGTGACCATTAGGAATCAGGGGGGCAGCGGGGGCTGGAAATAAATAAGAAAGGATTATGTTTCCCAAATTTGCTCACCTTAGAAAGTCTCCTCAACCATTCTGTGTGAGGTGATTTTTCCAAGGTAATTGTGCCCTGACTGCGCTGGATGTCAGTGTGTCTTGTCTTTTTGAAAATCACTGGATTACTCTCATGAACGGGGTATTTCTCTTTCTATTTGAAAATGGTCAACTGTCCTCTGCAGGTGTCCTGACTTGCTAGTTTAGACCCTGAAGGTAGCGGTGAGAAAATATTTGGGCCACATCAGAATACCTATTCTCAGCTGGAGGATATATAGAAATTTCTTAATAATATCTAACCATTTTCTCAATAACCATTATATTTAACATTGATAGCTTGGAGGGCAGGGAAGGACACAGATGACACAATCTTCAAAGTTTAATTTAGTTATAAGGTTTTTTTTTTGTTCTTGCTTAGTTTTGCTTAGTTTTTGGATACAAGGTCTTGCTCTGGTGCCCAGGCTGGAGGGCAGTGGCATAATGATAACTCATAATTTGGTTGTAACGGTTCTTTAAAATATATTTTTGCTGAGAGTGCTAGCTCATACCTGTAATCTAAACACTTTGGGTGGCCAAGGTGGGATGATCGCTTGATCCCAGGAGTTCAAGACGAGTCTGAGCAACATAAGTAGGCTCAGTCTCTAGAAAAATATTTAAAAATTGTCTGGGTGTAGCTTTGCATGCCTGTAGTCCCAGCTACTTGAGAGGCTGATTTGAAAGCATCACTGGAGCCTAAGAATTTGAAGATGCAGTGACCCATGATTCAGCCACTGCATTGACAGAGTGAGATATGTGTGTGTCTGTCTGTGTGTGTGTATAAAGAATTTGTATGTGAAAAAAATTCAAGCACAGGAGAAAAGTGAAAGCCCATGGTGGGGGATGTGGAGAAAGGTCACTGTGGCTCCAGCAACTCAGTGAGACTTGGTTTTCCATCTTGAAGAATTGCCCATCCACACTGACACCATAGCCTAACATATGCCAGTTCTCACACTACACCTGCTGGGATACCAGTATGTAGCCTTTTGAAAAAAATAAAATCTTTCACCTAAGAGAAGGACAAGAGAAAACGAGGGTTTCACATCTAAAGCCTTCATTTTCTTTATGAATCAACAGCCACTTGTCATTTCAATTGTCCAGAGGCGACTGACAGCACTAATACACTTAATGAATCAACCAGGAAAAATGGGCCTCTCAGGTGAGGAGGAGGCACAATCGTCACAAAACCCAATCCGTTCTCAGCTTTGCATGGTGCTCGCATCTCAAGAAGTGGTGTTAGCCATGTGAACCGTGTTCACTGGACAAGGCCAGAGGAAAGAATATGTAGTACAACACAACTATGGGGCTGCAAATCAAACTGGTAGTGAGAGCATGCATGAGGCTTCAGTGGCCGAGACACTGGTGGCTACCCTTCGGTGTCACTTAAATCTTTGAGGTGAAGGACATCTTTTTCCCAACTGGCTCAGAGAAACTAATCAACATTAAAATTGAGATTTGTTTTTCTTTTCAAAATTTCTAAGACATAGAGGACTCTCTAACACTCCAAAAGACATTCAGCTATACATGCAGCTGAGGACCTGCCTGCTCTGTAGAGGGATGGCAGAGCAGCAGCCACCAGCTTTAGTAGCTTTAAGCTCCTCTTCTCATAGGAACAGGCCACCCCCACACAACCCCCCTAACTTCATAGGCTCTGGCTGTCAGGTGCACCTGGGGGACTGTCTTCCTCCCATCTCATTAGCTCTCGAAGACAGTTCAGCTCAATGTAAAACCTACCTTAGGATGGTGAGTTGTAGGCTCTCCTCTATTCTCCCAGCGCAGTGTGACTTCTGGAGAGTGCTTCTCCATCCTCTTACCTCAGATGATGTGAAAAGAGCCGGTTCCCGGGCAGTTAGATGTTCAGTGACATAACAGGCCCAGCATGCGCAGGGCCTGGCCCCACAACCTGGCACCTCTCCCTTACCTGGCCTTCAGGCTGGACTTTTCTCTTCTGCCACAAATGTCAGGTGATGATCACCTCTGCCACACTCTCATGAGCTTGGTAAGTATCAGGGGTGTAAACCCCAACAGATTTCCTGTGACTCTACCCTCTTACCACCCACTCAAGTGACATTATAAGCATAATTTTACATTTGATATTATTTATGCGTAATTTTTTTTATAACATTTCTGACAACAGCCCACACAACGAAATGAGTCTGGGTTACAGAACACACGGGCGAGGCTGGGGTAGCAGGCTTCAATTACTTTATTCCAATGTGAAATGAAGATTGATGATTTAAAAACAAGACAAAGTTGTTTATCAGCTGTGGGGTGGCTACACTTGCTAGCTCATGCTCACTTTCTTTGAAACAAGGTATCTGTACAGACCATACTCATAAGTAGCTCTTCACAAAACCCCAGACAGAAGTCCCAGTCAGACACAGCTCCCTCAGGCTCACAGGGCAGCAACCTCCTCCTCCATGTTAGGCTCTGACAGCAGGCAAGGGAAGAAGCACAGGCAGCAGGGGACAGGGAGATGTCCCGGACTGTAGGGATCCCCAAATGCCCCAGAGCTATTATCTGTAGAAGGGTGCACGCAGGTCTCACTCTGACAGTGCAGTGGCTGAATCATGGGTCACTGCAGCCTCAAACTCTTAGCCTCCAGTGATGCTTTCACCTCAGCCTCTCAAGTAGCTGTATGGCAAAAAGCCTCCTATTTTTTTACTTAAAACCTGGACTTCAAGCCAGGTTGGACCTGGGGATAGTGGCAGCAAAAGCAGCAGCCAAATGTATACACTCCAGATGTCTACACTCATGGGCACAGGCATATTCCACTCTTGCTGGAGCACGAGAGGCCTGAGAGGCACCTGTTTCCCAGTTGCTAACTGATGCCCACACACCCCATTCACGTGTCTTCATTTAGGTCTCTGCATCGTGTATTCCCTCAGCCAGTGCAAACACATCTTCTGGGGGGCATCATTAATTGCAGCACCTGCCCCTCTTGTTCTGGGAGGGAGTCAAGAGGAATCTGGTCAGCTCCTAATCCCCCAGGACAAAGGTGCTGCCCCCTTTTCAGCACTCACATCCAGCAATGCCATCTCTGGATGGGTTTTTCAAACACAAGTAGCATGAGGTAGCAAGCATGGTGTGACAGGCTCAGGGCCATGGGCAGCCGGTTGCTGGAGAAGCAGCACAGGGCAGGCACATCTGTGGGTGGCACCATGACAAGCCAAGGCAGCCACAGCCCCTAATCCCAACAGCTCCAGCCCAGTTGGCATTCAAATCTTCCCAGATAGTATTGGGGTACGCGATGCCCATCACTCGCCCGCTCATTAGCACGGCCTTGTTGGTTACTCAGAGACTAAGGAGAGAGAGTGGGGGATGTAGATCCAGGGTGGGCACCGCCTTGCAGCCAGAGTCCACCTGACTGCAGGCCAGCAAGCAAGCCCAAGCAGCTCAGCTCTAGTCACCTCTGGCTGTACTTTATGTGTATACTTTACACAAAGGTAGCAAACAGAGGTCAACATTAGCTGTTGTGACATGAAAGTCTATGCCTCATTAAGACCTTAAAATGCTGTTGTCTTAAGCTCTCTTTATTCCACTAAAATTTATACAAATAAACACATGCAAGCTGAAACTACTATAAAGGAAATATTAGGATTTTTTAAACCCATAAACAGACATGAAAACAGTCACTGTTTGATTGCAGAGAAAGTGAGCTTCTAAAGCAGCTGACCACAAAACAGCCTCACCAAACCCCAGGCAGGCCAGGCAGTCTGAACACTACAAGGCCACGTGATGGTCACAGAGGATGACAGCTCCCGTGAGTATTGCAAGGCACTGTGTTAGCTTCTCACTCACAGTCTCAGAATACCCTGTGAGGGGAGGCCCCGTCTCACTAGAGCACAGGAGGTTCCTGAGCTCTTCCCAGAAAATGGTCATCAAACGATGGAGCAGAGGGAAGCCCAGACAGAACAAGTGAGTCCCTAGGGTCTCCTTAACCTCCCTCAGCTCCTCCACATGGGTCCCTGAGGGAAAGTGAGCAGCCTCCTAACCCCCTTGATAGGGTTCCAGTCCTGCAGGTCGGACTCTCTCATTTTATGCTACCATAGGGGGTGACAATGCAACCCCAGGCCCCTTATTTGCCATCCCTCAATGCCAGGCCAGGCCCAGAGCCCTTTGCTAACACAGCCCAGGGGATGCTCAAGGCCCACCTCGGCACAGTCACCTGTAGTGTACTGAGATGAGCAAGGAGGTGCAAGTAGACACAAATCCCCATGGGCTTGGCCTCAGCCATGTTCCACAGGCTCAGGGCCTCGCAGATGAGCTCACAGCCCTCCTTCAGGAAGCCTGCAGATCACACCCTCAGGGAGCAGTGCTCAGATGAGCAGGCAGGCCCCACATCCCCCACCCCATGACGCTCTGTTCCACTTTGCAGGCTTCTGCATTGGCCAGTCCCCACTGCTTTCTGGTGAGATGTCCGAGTTGAAGTGAATGTTGAAGGCCACACAGCTGATGGAGCTCACTGCCTTGCACATGTTGTAAATCACCTCCTGGCTTCAAGGGTCAGCTGTGGAGACACAGCTTGATGGGAGGTAGGCCCACTCCACCATCAGTGGTGCTGGGTTGCCCTGATCTGCACCTTCCAGATACTTGCTAAGATATCTGCATGCTTCTCTAAGGGACTGGGTCACGAGACACCCCTGGCAAGGACCAGCTGGCAGAACAGGCTGGACACTCTCCCTCAGCCTCCCCAGCAGCCCCACCTGTGCTGTCATCTGTGCTGATGATCTCCGTGGTAAGATTATGGGAAACTTTTACAGCAAGTTTTCCTTTCTCACTTCCCTATCTTAATAACAGCACTGATAACTTTTAAGCCCTAGCAAGCTGAAACTGCAAGACACATGATCTTCTGCCTTAGAAGGGCCATGTTTGGGCAGTGGGTGCCCAGGTGAGAGCCCCATGGTTGTTAGTGGCAGCCGGGAGCTGGATGGGCCTGCCCCATAGCCTAGTGAAAAGTGGGACCCTCTCCTTCCAGAGCATGGAAGTCTCAGAGGCTGGAAAAAGGTGCCTAAGTGGCCTGCCAAAAAGCATAAGGCTAGAAGGCCTGGAAAGAGCCCCAACAGCCTTCAAGCTGCCTGAGAGGGCTGGGCTCATTCCAGCTTTCTTTGCTTTCATCCTGTTAGCAAGAAAACCTGCTCACAGATGGCAGGCGGGCCTGAGGCTGCCATTCCCTCATCAGGGGCTATAGGCACCTTTAATGTGGCTCTTTCTTGAAGCAGCTGCTCAGGCCGGTTCTCGAAGAGCAGTTCCCTCATTATCCACAGGTCCTTCTTCCAGCCCCGTGTCTGCAGAGGGACTAGGGAGGGAGACAAGGGCTCAGCCTGTGCCCCACAACCTGCTTTGAGACATCTCTTTTGTTACTTCCTCACAGACAGCCTGAAACTTCCAAATGAACAGACCAGAATGGAGCCTCCAGGAAAGTGTACAGAATTCTGTCTAGTACCCAGAAGGAAGGGGGTTCCCAGTGAAGGCAGGGCCAGGCTGCATGCACCTCTTCAAAAATGTTCTCCTCATAGTCCACGCTCAAGGTGTACATCCTCTGTGTGCTTGCAGTCCATGGCAGCCTCTGCCTTGGGAACAGTCCAGCTGCACACCTGCAATATGGTGGTGACCCTCTTGAATGGATGGTTCTGGGCCCCATTGCAGACAGCAGATAGGGAGATGCTCAGCCCATCAAGCCCAGAGCCCTGCCACAGGCTTCTGTGAGGCCTCCACCTGCTCTGGGTTCTTGCCCTGAGAGGCTGCCCTGAAGTCAAACAGAAGCAGGTGGGACTCTCTTCCACAGCTGCTCTCTCTCCCACTGACAGCTCCCTAGAGGGTAACTCAGACAGAGAAGATAGAATTCTCAGGCAGAAGGACAGGAGTTTCGGCTGCCGATTCATTCCATACCCCCACATGACATGACACAAGGCAGGGGCTGTGGGACAAAGGCATTGCCTTTCCTTCTGGCAAGAGGAATGCCTTAGGAAGCAGGTCTGGTGGGGCTAGGGTTGAGCGATAGGCTTCAGGCCACAAGGAGTGGATGGACACTGAGCAAGTATCCTGGTTATCTGTCCACAGATCCAGAACAAGTGGCATCCCAGGAGCCTGGGAGGGGCTGGCAGAGACTTACTGTGTCCAGCAAAAGCCCCATGTGGATGCGGTAATGCTGCCTGCTGGTCCTTGTCTGTAATTACAAACAGGTACATGAGGTCCCCATGGATCTTGCAGCTCTCAGGGAGTGGGTTCCAGCTGCTCATGTTAGGCACTTTTAGTCACTGAACGTGCTTCAGGAATGGCCAAGTTTGATTAAGCCAGGCGTCTTGCTGTGAGACCCTCCACCCAACTGAGGACCCTCTTCCTTGTCCCCCCTGACAGTTTACCTTCCAGTTCTGGTTCTGGAGACACGATGGCCCTTCTTGGGCCCCTGGGAGAATGTGCTCAGATGACACACAGTCGACAGGGCCCATTTCCAAGCCATTCTTCCATTTCCCACTGTTTGAGGGGCCGAGGCCGGTGATCAGCACAGGGCCACCCAGGGCCAGCTGTCTGCACCTAAACGTCATGTTGGTCTGGATGTCTCAGGGCCAGAACTCTCCAGGTAAGATGGCCTGGTCCTCAGCACCTGGCCTCCATGCTCCTTTTTCCTCTGTTCAATCCTGGCCCCAATGCCTCCCGCAACTCTCAGGTCACCATTGGAGAAGATGCTCAGGAAGAACAAGGAGCTGCAGTCAACCCTGCTGAAGGTGGCATATGGGTCCAGGCTCTTGAGCTGGTCTTCGACATGGTACATGTGGATGCAGGCTTTGAGCAGTGTGAGTAGCTCTTTCCGGAAGGAGGGGAAAACGGTGTTACCAGGGTCCTACACCCTAGAACGACCCATCTAGCACAGAAAACAGTTTGCAACGTGCTATTATGTGTGATTTTAATTTTGGGCTTTAGGCTTTCATTTCCAAATTCCACAATAAACACATAAGGTGGGGTTCTGATTTCAACACACACACACACACACACACACACACACACACACACACACACATTCTCTCTCTCTTCCTCTCTCTTAGAATCTTCCAGTGAATTCACACTGAAAGCCGAAGTCCTCCCAGAATCTTGTGAGAACCTAAATGATCTGAATAGTTTGTCATTGCTTTTAGGGATCTGGGAAAATCTCTGCACATTTCTGGAGACCGCTGTTATGCCATTTTTAATAAATCTGTTGTGCTTCAATTCAGAAGTGTGTGAGGGGAGTTGTGGAGGAATTGGCATTTGGGTTAGAAATTCCAGGAACAACAGAGACAGATGACACCTGTTTTCTGCTTCATAATGTCAAGTTTTATGAAGGCTAAAACCTAATTCTACAAAAAAAATTAGACTGAAAAACTTTATAGGCAAAAATTATCTTATTAAATAGGAAAATCTAATTATTTTATTTTAAAATTTTCTTTTCCTTAGTAGGACCTAATCATAGAAATTTAAACACTGTATGCCAACAGCCTCTACTGTAGGATGGTTTATTGTAAGTACTCATTTTACAGATTTCTTACAAAAACTTTTTCCGTAAGAGAAATTAGAATATTGTTCAACATATATTGAATTCACAATTATTACCTTATTTCTCACTTATTATTTTATGATTCTGTTTTCTTTAATATGAAGATTACTATGACTGTGTTTTCACTTTCTGAATTATCATGTGTCACATTTTTCTGTAATTTCAGTTTGAGAAGTTGTAAAACAGCATGCTCAAATGTATATGTTATGTATCAATTATATAATTAATTATTAAAATATTTGGCTTGTATGTTTAATTGACTCTAGGCACAATATTACTATTAGCATTTTCTTCCAGTTTTCCCAACTTTTATTTGACTAATAGTACAATTTATTTCCAGTTTTTATTTTATCTGTCAATGTTTTATACTGTATTTACAATATTTATATTGTTACCATATGTAAAAATGTAAGACCTTTCTATTAAAGGCTAGATTACAGCCTTACCCTTTTGTGTAAGGAAAGAAGCAATGCATCAGTAGCATAATTTAAAACTTTCTCTAGTATTACTTAAATTTTTATTCCTTAAAACTTTCTCATCACATCTCTTTTTAATAATTATAATATGGTTTCTTTGAAATGTTGTTGCCCTAATTGTATCCAAGTAATTCAAAATTTATACTTTTTATGGATTCAAAGGAAGAGTTGAAAATTGTAGTTACCTAGGATTCTTTTTCAGTTGGACACTATGTTTATTCAGGATTTTATAGATCAAAGTTTCTCTTAATTATGTTTTAGAATTTATGTTTCTGTATTTTTTAGAGTAGGCTGTCTCACAGCAGTTAATTGTGTTTTTACTTTCTACCTATTTATTATGATTTTGAATTACATTATTCAAGTAAGAATTCGGGGAAGGTTTCTTTTAAGTTTGTTTTGCAATTTTGCATTTCTGTGTTTCATGTTTTAGGGTAGGGCACCTTACATCAGTTTATTGTTTTTAGTTTGAATTTATATAATATAATTTTCTATGACAATATTCAAATCTGTACAGCTTAAGACAGTGTGAGGCAAAAAATATGAAGCATCCCTATGGTCTTTTGTTAATATAATGATTTAATTGTTTGTTTGCTTGTATAAATATTGCCCCTATTTTGTTTATGACTTGTGTATTTTCTTCTTGTTTGATGGACAATAATTGATTCTGTCTAAGTGAGTAATCATGGAAATTGTCTTAATTTCAACATCTATTGTTTATATTATCCTAGTGTGAAAGAAAGACTTATGCGATTTGAAGATAATTTTTCAAAAACTTTGTAACTCTCTCTCTTCAGGTGTCTTTACTTATTTATTTTTTGACAGACTCTCACCCTGTCGCCAAAGTGCAGTGGCACAATCTTGGCTCACTGCAACCTCCACCTCCCAGGTTAAAGCAATTCTCCAGCTGCTGCCTCTTGAGTAGCTGGCATTAAAAGTGTGCACTACCACGCCTGGTTAATTTTTGTGTTTTTCATAGAGCTGGGGTTTCACCATGTTGGCCAGGCTGGTCTTGAACTCATGGCCTCAAGTAATCTGCATGCCTCAGCCTCCCAGAGTGCTGAGATTACAGGCATGAGCCATCTCTCTTGGCCCTTGGGTGTCATTTTTAATTTCGATTGTGGTAAAAATACATAACATAAAATTTAGAATCTTTAATATTTTTTCTTATACAGTTCAGTCATGTTAATGTATTTACATTGCTTTGCAACATATTTGTAAAACTTTTTTCTTTTGCAAAACTGAAACTCAGGACACATGAAATGACAACTACCCATTTTCCTTACAACCTGGCTCCTGATAAAAATCATTCTATTTTCTGTTTCTAAGTTTCAATACTTTAGATATTACATATAAGTAGAATCATAGAGTATCTGTTTTATTGTGACTAATTTTACTTAGCATCATGTTCTCAAGATTTCTCTTTATTGTGGATGGTACAAGATTTTCTGCCTTTAAAAGCTGAGTAATATTCCATTACTTTTGTATTACAAATTATATTTATTTATTCATTCTATGAGGAAAGTTTGTGTTGCTTTCACCTATTGGCCTTTGTGAATAATGCTGCAATGAATATTGGTATGCAAATAGCTATTTGCTCATATGTATGAGGTTTACATGTGTGCTACCTTCTGTTTTATTGGAAAAATTGTCTGTCTTTATGCTAGAAACAAACTGTTTTCATTGCTGTTGCTTTGTAATGTGCTTTGAAATCAGAAAATTGAGGCCGCTAACATTGTTTTTTTTTAAAACATTTTTGGGCTCTTTATGGTCGCTTGACATTCCATATAATTTGTTGGTTCCTTTTTCTATTTCAAAAACATTGCTAATTTAAAAGGGATTGCATTGAATCTGTAACTCGCTTTAGGCATCATGAGCATTCTTCATAATATCAAGTCTTACAACCCTTAAACATGAGCATGCTCAAAAGTGAGTTGTTTAATTTCCATATATATGTTGCTATTTTTGTTTTCTTCTGTTATTCATTTCTAGTTTTATTCCATTTTGATCAGAAATAATAGTCACTGAAAGGCTAAACCACTCTGGGAAGTGACCCCCATTATAGAACATTACAAAGAGATGTGAGGGCACCACTTCTGCCCTGATGGGCTAGAGGGATGTGTTCTCTGAGATGACACGTTGCAGACAAATGCAGGGAACAATATAACCCCCTTTTCATGTAAACTCTTCCTTATTTTTCTAGAGTATTAGTGATAGTGGTGGCTTTGAAGTCTTGGGGAAGGTCTGGCAGTGCCGTGAACCTGCCTGCTACAGGTGATACCAGGGGGGAAAAATTAAAACCATACAAACTGTAGAAACATGAATAAATACAGCCTAGTGTAAAGTAAAAACAACACAAAGGCCTTCTCTGATATTTCTACAAGAATGTAAAAAGGGACTTTACACTTAACCAAGCTGCCTTTGGGACTAGTTAAGGCTAGATTTTTGGGAGGCACATCTTTGGGTCACTCATGGAAATCCCCTAAGAGAGAGCCCAGAGAAATTCCATATTTGGGTCTGGATCCTGGGCCCATCCTGGTTTTGTCAGACCCCTGTCTGTAGAGACCCCCATGTGCCTGCTCTCACCGTAACTCACTGTATGCCATGCTTGGGGGTGTGGTGAACCTGCCAGTTGTCCAAGGAGATGGGGGACTTGAACCCATCAAATATCTGCTCAATGATTTTAATGAAACTCTACAGAGAGTGTTCCCAGCAGTGAAGCAGGAAAAAAAAAAAAAGAAAAAAGAAAAAAAATTAATTATCTCCTTTGTTTTTACCACCAGGTGACATCTCCATTAGAAATTCTGTTTCCTAGATCAGGAACATAGGAGTATCTGCATAGACCCCCAGCCAATGAGGAAACCCGAGGACAGCTTAAGGCCTTGGGATTCACATCTGAGTAGACACACTTGGTCCACAATGCTCAACTTTTTATTCCACCAGCCATGACCTGGGTATGAACATGACATAGCCGCCAGGGTTCCAATGCCTTACAGCCTGCCCCTGTGAGAAAGAGCCCCCTCCTTTCCTGCTCCCCCTGCAACACATGGTAATGGTAGACAGGGTCGGGTTGCCCAGATTAGATGACACGGGTGGCCTGGCATGGACGGACCTGACCTGGGCTTCACTGTGTTACCTCTGTTTGCCTCTTGTTGAATGGCCAGTGGTATCAAGGATGTGGGCTGAGCCAATATGTATATGGTCAGAAAAGTCTCTCACTTTGAACCTTTCTCAGGCAACAGCTTAGGAATATAGCACACAATGAGAACACAGTACTCTCTCAAGCATCTCCCATGAAATTAGCTAGATAGAGGGCTCTCTCTAGAATGTGGGTTTCTGTTTCCCAAAGTTCTAAATTCTGTTAGGTTCTGTCACAAGGGAAGTCTGTTAACTTCTTCAAGGTTTTATCCCCTGAGCCCTTTTCCTCCATAAATCTATGCAAAGTCCCTACTGGGCTGCTGATTGCTCACCCTCATCTCCCATGTCAACTCTTTTCCTGTAAACAGTTATGCAAACACAATTATGCCTCTTACTCCCCAAAAAGATCTAAATACAGCCAGGGCCCCAGGTTTGAGAGAACAGAGTTGGATTAAAATCTTCTTTTCCTTTTCATTTCTGTGACCATATGAAAATGACTGTGTGCTTCAGTTCTCCCCAGCCCTGAAGTATGCATAATGGGATTAGGCTAGCATCAACTTCCAGAAAGAGTCATTGGCGATATATGAGATAGAATGAATCAAAATCAGTTGGATGTAGTTGCTCTTGCCTGTAATCTTAGCAGATTGGTAGACCAAGATGGGTGGAACACTTAAGGCCAGGGGTTTGAAACCAGCCATGGCCAGCATGGCAAAAACCCTTCTCCACTAAAAATGCAAAAATTAGCCAGATGTGTTGATGCTTGCCTGTAATCCCAGCCACTCAGGAGGCTGAGGTGTAAGAATCACCTGAGCCAAGGAAGCAGAGATTACATTGAGCCTTGATCATGCCTCTGCACTCCAGCCTGGGTGACATAGCGAGACTGTGTCTCAAAAAAATATATATACTATGTATATATAATTTATATTTATATATTATATATAATATATAAACTTATACATATACACCTTTATGTATAAAAGATATATATTTCATATATCTGTATACATAAAAGATATATATTTTATATATATGGCCTTATTTTTCCATTCTACAGCAGAAGAGGTTGAAATCAAAAGAAAATCAGATACTGTATTCTGGCATTAAATATTCCAGTGCTGTGCATTATATTTGGAATCACATGTATATGCTTCATCTCAGCCTATGTGGTGGGCACCCCCAACAAAGTCTCACAACAACACTAAGTTGTGAGTGACTCTGTTATTTAAAAACGCAGCTCACCGCTCAGTGCCTCAGAAGCCGGTACTATAACACCGGGTTTCCAACAAAGACATTGGATTCCAGCTGAAGCCTCTTTCCCTGTGCTTACTTAAAGGTAGTAATATTCTCAGAAAGGTTTAAGAGGTGGCTTCTTGTTTAGCAGGGAATTGCTGAAAGGAAAAATGTATGGAAAGTCACTGGGCATGAACAGCCATCTTTTCCTGCTACACACAGGTCATGTGCAAATTTGGGGACAGTTAGTACAAAACATGTGATGGAAATTTGGGCTCTTACATCAGTGAGCTTATTTCACACAGACTCCAGTTGACCATATTGGTTCCAACCAATTTTAGCCACTTTTTAGAAGTCTCATAAGTGGAATAAATTTCATTCTTTCAACAAGTTCTATCTTTTCTTATCTGTCATTCTGCAAACTGAAGAATTTCTGCTAGTCGTTGGTTGAACTCTTTGGGGACCTGGTTCTAGTTTCTGTCAAAGAGAATACAACAAATGTGATAGGTTATCACTTCTGACTTAGTTCAGGCTTCTATACCAAAAAACATAGACTAGGCAACTTATAAACAAAAGACTTTAGTTCTGGAGGCTAGAAATTTGAGATTGGCTTCCAGCATGGTTGTGGTCTGGTAAGGACTCTCTTCTGAGTTTCGAACTCCAGACTTCAGGTTGTATTCTCATTTAGCAGAGAGAAGGACAGACAGCCTTCTGCGGTTTCTTTTACAAAGCCAGTAATCTCTACCACGAGGGCCTCATGCTTAGGACTTAATTACCTCTGACCTGCTAAGGCCATTAAACTGGGGATTAATGTTCTGGAATGTGAATATGGTGGGGAATCACATAGTCTACTGCAACTTCCAAAGTTATATTTCCAAAACAGCTATTATTTTCCTCCCACTTGCTCTGTCCTGTGTTTCGTCTCTCAATCTCTCTGTCTCCCTTTCTCTTTTTCTGTGCATATGTCTGTCTATCTCTTTCATTTTCCATCTCTCTATTGTATTCTTCAAGATGAGGAAGCGATCTCCAGTGTCCTAAGATGCTCTAGGCACAGACCCACATGATAGAGAACTGAGGAACTGCCCAGGCCAATCAACAGGAAGAAACTGGTGTTCTCAGTTCACACTGAATCCTGCCAATTTCCATGAGGCAGATTGGAGGCTGATCTCTCCCCAAATCCAGCTTCAGTTGAAATCACAGCCCCAGCCTCATAGGGGACCTTGAGGCAGAGGCACCCAACTAAGCTATATCGAGATTCTGATTCACAAAAATTGTGAGATAGTATTTGTTGTCAAAATGTGCTAAAATTCAGGGCAATGTTGTCAGAGAGCGGCAAATGACTAATCTCCTCTTTCAGGCCCCAGGATACACCCTCCCCTCTTTTCCTTTCTTTCTCAGGCTGCCTACAGCCACACTTGTCCCTTTATAACCTCCTCTGCTAAACTGACTTGTGCCTCTGAGTCTTTTCACAAAGAGTGGCTTTTCCCTGACACACTTTCCACACCTGCGCAGTTGTCATTCTCGTCACAACATAATGTCACCTCAGGGAGGCATTCATGTCTCCTCCAGGCAACCTCTCCCCAGCCCTCCCTCCCAACATTCTACTTTATTTCCATTATAAAATGCTCTTTTCTTTCGCATGTACTTGCTTTAGTGTTTTTGTCCTGCCGTCCTCAGACTGTAGGCTCCCCGCGGGGATGCAGGGATAACATAATCGTTTTTGGTACCACATGGTGAACCTACCAAGGTAGCTGCCACAGGGTGAGTGCTAGGGGAAGAGTCGCTGAGTAAAATAACATGGAAAATCACAAAGTCCTTCCTGCTTTCGGTCACCCAATAATGTGGAGATCAAGAATGATAACAGGAGCTGCAGGCCCTCAGCCTGTCTCTCCCACGGCTCCAGCTACTCCAGTCAAGTCCAGCGGGCACAAGAAACACGGGGTCTGCAGCCACCTAGAGACCTCCGCTAGCACTGTAGTCCCAGGCAGAAGCATCACAAAACAGGTACCTGCACTGGGGAATTCTCAAGGCAGTGGCTCTTCAGGGACCCCTGGGAAAAGGAGCAGTATCTGAAGGCTCCAAGGGCCATAAAAGTGACCTCGGAAGCCTCCCTTGATTCCTATTTTCCTCAGCCTCTTTGAGTGTGCTGTGCACTCATTAAACATTTTAACAGCATTCGGCGACATTATTTTCTTCCACTTCCGAATGAGGACCTCAAGGACAGCCCAAAAAACTAGTATTTTTTCTGGGCCCCACACTCCAGAGCCCAGTGCATTGTCACATTGTGCTTTATTCCAAGTCCTCATCCGCCCAAGTCTCTAGGCCTCTCTCTTCTCTGAAGGACCTCTAGAAACTGAAAAGCCTCTTCCCAGAGTCTCAAAGCACAGTGATTTACCAATGAAAAGCCAAGGGCGGCAGACACCTATGAGTATCTAGAATCCTTGGTATTATTCCTTCTCAGTACCCCTATTTATGAGGGAGAAAACAAAGGCTTTCTTTCCCGTAGCCTGTCTTTATATCACACGGGGTGGTGGGTGGAGGGCATAGCTCATTTTAGTTCCAGGTGCCCACAGAAGTGGGAGTCACAACCCCAGTCCTGTCCTCTTGAAACAGCTGGGAAAGTCCCCAGGCTTGGAAGAACCCAGGGAACCTGGAGGATCCTTCATCGCATGCTGTCAGCTCCTGGTCATGTAGCTGGGGGAGTGGATGCCTCTGCCTCATGGCAAAGCTGCATCTACTGTTTCTTCCCCTTTTGTCACTTCTTTGGTTTCCTCTTCCCTAACCTCACTTTAGAATCTCCACTTTAGATCTCCAATTTAGAAGCCTGTGTGTGTGTGTGTGTGTGTGTGATGTGTTTGTGTGTGCATGCCTGCACGCCTATGTGACAACATTGAAGAGTAGAAAGCCCAGGTAGAAAGTAGAGCACAGGGTTTTCCAGGACTCATGGGCTCTCATTTCCAAAGCAAACCTGATGGGTGGGGTGCATGCAAGGCCTAGGAAGCTGGATCCCTCCCTAATACTCTGTGCTTTGCCCAATTTGTGGGATCTGGACCAGTCTTTGCCTTTTTGGGAGGTCTCAGTCTTCCTGTTGTAAAATAAAGAGTTGGCTACAAAACTGTATGAGCACATGCTCAGTGAAGACAGGGTGTCATGCTCAATACCACAGAGAATATTGGGATGGGGAAAGTTTGGGCAGACTTAGGTGTCCATGCGTGCTCAGGCCTCTGAACAGGGCCAGTGCAGGCAAACATAAAGCACAGCACAGCCAGGTTTTCTTTCCAGGGCTACAGGATGAAACAGTGCACCACAGGATCTGCTCTTGAGGTCGGTCCCGCAAGATTTTCCCACCTTCAACCAGCAACTGTTTGATGAATTTCATGTCCTGTGAAGCCCATATCCACCCCCATTACAGTGAGGGGCACAGGGCACTAGACCTGTAAAATAATGTCTTTTGCCTTTTTTTCTTTTCTTTTCTTTTTCTTTTTTTTTTTTTTAACTGAGTGGATGTTTCTTCTTTCTCTTTATCTGTTTTGTTTGTTTTTTAACTAATTTTTAAGAGGTCTTTACAGGTCAGCTGTGGTGCCTCGCACCTGTAATTTCAACACTTTGGGAGGATGAGGCAGGTGGATTATTTGAGGTCAGGAGTTCAAAACCAGCCTGGCGAACCTGGTGAAAATCCGTCTCTACTAAACTTACAAAAAAATTAGCGGGGAATGGTGGCCCAAGCCTGTAGCCCCAGCTACTCAGGAGGCTGAGACAGAAGAATTGCTGAAACTTGGGAGGCGGAGGTTGCAGTGAGCCGAGATTGCACGACTGCACTCCAGACTGGGTGACAGAGTGAGTCTCTGTAAAAAAAAAAAAAAAAAGAGAGAGAGAGAGGGAGAGAGAGAGTGCTCTTCATGGAAACATGAGCCCCTTTGTAATTTCATGTGTTGAAAATATTTATTCCAATTTTGCAATTTCTTTTCTTATTGTGGTGTTCTCTTTAAGTTTGGTTTAGATGTTATTAGTGTTTCTCCCCAAATTGATTTATTGATTTCCATTTTCACAATACAATATTTTGGCAGAAATCTTGTGGAAACTGTCTAATCAGTTTAAAAATTTAAATACATATTAAAAAATCAAAGAACTGTAAAAACTGTCCTGAAGAATGACAAAGTTTGTGAGCTTACAATGCCATATATTCAGACTTAGATTAAAGCTATAGTAATAAAAGCTATCTATGGTAGTAATGCAAAAATAGGCACAAAGAAAACTAGAAAAACTCGAGAGTCCAACTCAGACTCACACATTTAGACATTTTGTATATTACAAAACAGGCACAGAAGAGCAGTGGAGAGAAGACAGCATCTCGGTAATTAGCCTTGGGTCATCTGGTTATTTATGTGAGAAAGAAATAAACCTATCTTATATTGTTAACAAATTTCGAGACAAGTGGATTTTAAATTTTAAGGTGAAAATTGAAAACAATATTTCTAGTAGATAACATAGATAAGTATGTCCATGACTTTGGCACAGGCCAAGATTTCTTGGGACACAAAATGCATAAATTATCAAGACAAAAATATGACAAATTGGACTTTATTAGAATTAAAACCTTCTCTTCATAAAAAAAAAAGCTTCAGGAGAGCTGAAAGGCAAGAACAAAGTGGAAATCAACATTTGTCATATATTGATCTGGCAAAAGCTTTTTATCTAGATTATTAAGCTAAATCCCATCACTTAATAAACAAAGATGCATACATTGAACAAAATTGGCAAAGATATGACTAGGAGTTCCACATACAGAACCGAAGGGCCAACAAGTAGATGAACATATCCACATTCTTATGCATCAGAACAATGCATATGAAAACTACAATTGAATACCACTATGCAATCATTAACATTTTTGAAAACTGACAAAATTAAGTATTAGTGATGATGTCAAGCAACTGGAACTTTCTTATACCATTCTGTGTGCAAACTGTTATAACCACATTCAAAACCACTTGAGTAGTAACTCCTTACATACACGATGTACATAAGCACACTCTAGAACCCAGCAACTCTGCTACTAGGTATATACACCCAATAGAATTGCCAGCATATTTTCCAATGTAGTAAAGTGCTCGAAGTAGCATTATTTGGTACTTTTCCAAACTGAAAAAAACTCAAATGTGCATCAATAATAAAATAAATAACTAAAACAGCTACATATTCCTTTATAAGGGGACATTATACAGATATAAAATTAATTGGAGACATATTAAAATATACAAAAATCTAACAAATACAATTTAATTAGATTTAAAAGTCCTATCCAGAGCAATCGGCCAATAAAAAAGAAAAAGGCATACAAATAGAAAAAGAAATTGAATTCTCTTTCTCCATTTGCAATATGAGTCACTACGTAGAGAATGCTAAAGCCTCTCCAAAACTACTTTTGGGGAAAACTTGAAAAGCCTCCTGAAACGGATAAGCAAGTAAAGTTTTAGGACACAAAACCAATGTACAAAAATAAGCAGCATTTCTATGCATCAACAACTTTGAATTCCTGAACATCTTCTGGTTTTATTGCATTTTCAATTTTTTCCCTCCATTAACTATACATTTTTTCTTTTTTCAGCTAAACTAATTTATTCTTCTGTATAATTTCACCTTGTTAATAAACCCCAGGCCAAAAAGTGGGAATAAAGTATTTGTCTGCATCCTGTTTCCTCATTTTGAAAACTAGTCTAGACGAAACCTATACTTGTTCTAGGGAGTTGGCATAGACAGCATTTATTTCCGTTCTCAGCAGTGATGCCAGCCAGAAAGAGGGAGTTCCCCATTTTCACTTTGGTTAGACAGGACTCTGGATGGTTGAAGGGGAAAAGTTTCAGACTCTAAGGGAGCCAAATAGGATATTACAAAGATTTATGCATTTACTCCGGGAGCAATTATTGTGTTAAATTTTGTGCAAAACACTGCGCAAACAGCAATTAAAGTGAAAATTATTAAGGCATTACCTTTACCTTGGGAAACTCACACTAGTCAGATTCTCCGAACCCCAGAACATAACAACAACCTAGTAAAATCTTGTTCAGAGTGAAGAGAGGGTGGGAGCAGGAAGGTAAGGTTAAAAATTAGGCTGGGTGAATGAGATAATTACCCCTAGTCAAGCAGTGGAAGTATGGATGGCTTTGGGATGGGTGAAGACAAAAGAATCTCAGCAGAGGGTGCAGATAAAAAAAGGCAGAAACACAGGAGGCTTATGCAGGAAGAGGAATGAGTTTGCTGGACTGGGGAGAGTGACAGTAAAAAGCAGAGGATAATAGGCATCTCTGGTCATCTAGGGACTATAGGGTGGATTAGTTGGGGGTTACAGAATCAGTGAGGTACTTTTTAACAGTAGGATGGGTAAATAAGAGCTATAATTTGGAATAATTATGTAGCAATGGTGGTTAGGAGCAATAGAAACTCAAAGTATTACATAAATATGTTTTTTTCTTATTCTCCCACACAAGCCTTTCACCTTCCCTCTTAAACTGAGAACGGAGTGGTTTGCTATGATGTTTTTAAATTCTCACAGGCAAGCATTACTCTGTGCTGCCTTTTAATAAAGGCTAATTTTAACCAAATTAAAGAAGATTGAATGGATTTTCTTGATCATAATGGTTGAGTACAACATCTCTTACCTTCTACTAGTTTTCAGTATAACTGAAGTAACAGAATGTCAATACTCCATGGAGGGGTGTTCCTCTTGCTAAGGCTCCCTCCTCTGGGCTAGGCCTTCTACACCATGGCTGTCCTGCTGTGGCTGGAGCTGGAATTTGGATTGACCTCTGTGTGTCTTCCTAGCACACAATAGGTGTCCAATTAGCATGGGCAGAATCAAGCTCCTCCCTCTCACCATTTATTTCTCCATTTGTCCCTTGTTGGGAATGGAGAGTCCTGCCACTGAGTTCAGCCCAGGGTTGAAGTTCAAATCTCAGCTGATACTTGGTGGATGTTGACTTTTTTGAGAAGAACTTGGGAGAATAAAACATTATAAAGGCGCTGGCCAGGCACGGTGTCTCATGCCTGTATTCCTGGCATATTGATTGGCTGAGGAGATAGAATTGCTTGAGGCCAGGAATTTGATACCAGCCTTGTCAACATAGTGAGACCCCATTTATACAAAAAACTTGAAGCATTAAAAACATTTAGCCTGGTGTGATAGTTCCAAACTGTTGTCTCAGCTATGCTGGACATTGAGGCAGAGGATCACTTGAGCCAGGAGTTCTAGGCTACAGGGAGCTATGATCGTGCTGCTGCACTCCAACCAGGGCAACTATGCAAGATGTTTCAAAAATAAAATCTTTTATTATTCTTCACCCCTATAGTCTCTCCAGAACTTGTGCACTATGTAGCAGAAAGAATCAAACTCCCCAAGAGTTTGGTTCTTGCTTATGATTTGGTTTTCTGCTGCTTGGCTGCCCCCTCATTTCCCCATTTTGTATAAATAAGAACCCCCAGGTGAAGTGGAGTTTCTCCCCAGCAGAGGGTCTCACCAAGGCCCCAGGACTGGCACTTTAGGTGGAGGCTTGCCTTTCAACCTCTGAATAATAATTGATACTAAAATTGAGAAGTTTTCCAGACACCAGCTTCCTGAAAGGAGCACCCAGTCGAGACAAGATGAGGTCAGTAGCGAAGGTGACCCAGGCTGAGTGGGCCGTACATTCCTCTACTTTTCCCAAACTTCCCTCTGACATCCTACAAACTTTCTGTCTTCCCAGGACTTTCTTGCCAGGGAGTCTAATGAAGTAAAAGCTTTAAAATTGCTTTGATTTTAAAAATAATTTTATTGGTTCTTAAAATGTACTGTTAAATATTACTGTTTTTCTTCCCCCAGGGGCTACGTGAACATAAGCTCGGTTTTCACACTAGCAGCATTTAGAAATGTCTCTTCTGGAGGAACACTGATGCTCTCAATCACACGTGGTAATTCTCTCCTCCAGGCACAAAATGCAGTCTCAGCATCTCTGTATCAGGAGTCACTGTCTAAGTCTCTCCAGAGAAATAAGCTACCCAGGCCATCCAGCTGCTGGTGAGTTGCTTTGTGGTCATGAACTGGGTAGATTTCCTCATCTCATGCTCATTGGCCACATTCAGGATTAATGATTCAATGCTTTTGTTGTTCCAGAAGCTGTGGTCAGTGGCTATGCAGGAGTCAGTCTTTCAGTGCTGATCTTTGCTGAGAAAATAATAGTATTGTTCAAACAGTATATAGGATTTGCACTCAATATTTAATAATTTAGTGACAAAAATCTCTTAAATATACATTATACTGATATAAAATAAGTTACTCATCTATTATCAAATTTACTCTTTTATTTAATATAACTCTTGGGATAACATTTTCTTTTATGCTTCCATAAATATGCTTCACATGGATATATCACATATTGTGTATAATTTCACACAGTGTTAATATAGTTTCCATCTATTTAGATGTTTGCACATTTATTTTATCTCAATGTTTGTTCTCAGGAAGAGTGTTTTTCTTTATAAACTAAATTTTCAGCAAATTTTAAATGCATTTCACTGACGTAATTATACTTACATTGTATTTGTGTATTAAGTTACATTTTGTCCTTAAACCTGAAAATAACTTTTCAAATATATGTAATTTTAAATTTACATGTTTTTCCCTCAGAACTTTGAAAACCATAACCTATTGGATTCTTGATCTTATTCACATATTGAGAAATATGTTTCTTTTCATTGCTTTATAATTAATTTGAATTTTATCTTAGATAGCTTTACGTGATTTTCTCTATTATGGTATTATGCTTTTAACTATTGTTTTTCTTTTGATCAGAATGCCTTTAAGCTATTATAATTAATTATTTTAATAATTATATATTTTTATTCCCTATTTGACATTCACTCCATTTTATTTATTCGAACTTGCACTTAAACAACATGACTTATTTTAGATTTTTATGTATTTTAATTTTTCATATTGTTTATTTGTTTTATCCCTATTGGGACTTCTAAATATTCACTTCATCATATCTTCTAATTCATAATTTCTTTTTCAATTATGTAATTTTTCTATGCATTCTATCCTTTAAATTTAAAATTTTTACCTAATTATTTTGATAATATAACTTATTTTGATCTTACTTTTAAACTTTTCCTCTAATATATTTAAACATTATAACTACTTATATTATTTCTACAGTATATATACAATTTTGGGATTTTTTAAGATGTAATGGTACAGCTGTGTTTTTCTTATAATTTTGTTTCTTAATAACTTTGATCTTGATGACTTTTACTTTGTATATTTTAAAAAGAATAGTAGACTTCATTTTATTATAAATGACTGACCTCAATTGATGGGGCCATTGAAGATTCTGGGTCGAGGTATTTTATTCCAGTGAAAAGTTATCTGTAATGTTAATAATGCACCCTTTACAGACACCTGAAAATGATTAAGTCTATATATTTACCTAAATTGTCCTGAGTAAAACACATAGTGTACATATAAACCAGAAACTCATATGATGATTGGTGTTAATTTCCAAATCAACCAAAGAGGAGAAATACCACCTCCACTAACTAACCTATTTTTCTAAACTTTTGAAAATGTAAGGATTCTAGCTTTAGATAGCATAGTCAGATCCAAGTACTCCTGCATCTATGCTGCTGTGACATTATATTCACCAATCAGACACGTTAAATTCTAACAACCTGTGCTTCCATTATTAGCAATTCCCACAGGTAGCATCAACTTCCAGCCTAATTTTTATTCTACAGCTGTGCTTCTTCATTCTTTCCTGAAAAATTATTTGTGGAGGTACATGCCTTTGAAGTTTCTCAGCATATATTGTTATTTGAGGTTGAAAAGATAAGATTATCTAAATTTTTGCCAGAAACTCTCATACCCACATTATATCTTTGAAAGCATTGGTTATCACACTGCTGCTGACATGTGCATGTAGGAGAAGCATGTAAATGTCAGCGCTTTGCAGTCTCTAAGGGGCTGAAATAAACAATACCGGAAATCTTGGCCACTGAGGCTCACATGTAGATTTTCATTCCCAGTCCAGGCATCTAGATTCAGGGGCACCTTCCTGAGGGCCTTTTGGTTGAGGCCTTCTTCAGAAACTTTTGTTCAGATCCCTGTTTCTGGAGAAGAAATGGAACTTTGATAATAATTTTTATAGATTCCTATTAATATTCAATTCTCTTTAATCTTGCTCATACATTCTCCTCTACGCTCTCCTGCCCCCTTTTCCACAAAATTGCGGGCCTGTTTTTTATGAGGGTGCCACCTCGGCAGTGAGACAGTGCCCCATATTTGTGCTGATCCATCTGACCCTTTCCTGGTGCTTTTCCATGAGGAAAAAATGGAACAATGAGGAGTCGGTGCTTGATCTAATGTTGCCTGTTGTTTAACACAATCACAGAAAGGAAGACAAAAAGGCATAACTATTTCTTTGATGTGGGCCTCTTGCTTTAATTTAAAACTCTGATATTAAGCAGGTTAGCTCTTCCCAGCTCAGCTCAGCTCTTGAAATTTCATGGAAGAAATTCTGTTTTTATTGGTCTAAATTTTGTGTCTTTTATATAGAAAAAAGGTAATAAAATTGCATCTTATATTTAAAAATTGAATGCCTTCTGTTTTGCCATTTTACTGAAGAGAAAATTTGTGTAGCCTATTGGCATTATTAACAGTGAAGCTCCAAGTACTAATATTCAGAAAAAATAATGAATCAAAATCCAACTATTTCTCAGTACCATTTTCTTTTTTATAAACTTTCTATTTTATTGTCTGTAATTTAAAAACTTCTGTGGAAAAGAGTTTAAAATTTTCAAAGTTAATACAAAATTATTTTTAGAGTTTCTTTTTGCATAATGTTTGTCGTAAGTAGCTAATATTAATAAATTGTAATCATCAATTCTTATCTAAGCTGCACGTTAAAAAATATGTTAATATTTGCTGCTGCCTAAAATATAATACATATTTACATAATCTAATTTACTAAAAATAGTAATAAACACATATAAATAATCAACATACACAGGTCATTTTTTCTATTTCTTACTTATATTTTATGTTTCATATTTGTATCAGCACACTTTATGTCCTAGTATCATATATGGAAACGTGCCTATTTTGCATATTGTTATATTAAATAATAAGACATATGCTTAGCTTCCCCTAGGTTAAATTTTTTACATAATTGTTATTAACGTAAATAATCCAGAAATTAAAGTTTTTAAAAAAATTTCCAGTGCCCTCACTGTGCATAATATAATTCTATTTTTTAAAGTGTTAGTGCTGTTTGCATTATATAAAAGAATATTTTAGTGTATCAACTAACTACATACCTGAAAGCATGGCTTACTTTTTCATTAGTATATACTTTTGGTTGTACTCGGCTATTTTTCTAAAAGTGCTTGCAAATCAGTTCCAGGCCACAGGGCTTTGTCTTCAACAAAATAAGAATATCTCAGAGACCCACAGAAATAACTGTACCAAGTACTCCTATAAACAGGCTTCTGATAGAATGACTTACATAACTTTGAAACACTATCAGTGGACTAAGTTATTTCTCTAATTCTAGCAGAGAAGCATATGTGCTTACAAGATAGAGTAAAACAAGTATGAATAAAACAGGACTAAATGAACTGACAAAGAATGATAATAGGTTTTGTTTGGAATGTGAACATAAAACATTCCTGCTATTATTTCCTTGGTATCTAAACATGAGCTAATGGGAGCCGTTGTTACATGTTGTACACCCTTAAGAAGGTTTACAGTTTTTCGTCTCACCTATATTCGTAGTTGTCTTTATTTGTGGTTTAGAATCTCAGCTCTTTTCATAGCTGCCTGGCACTCATCTTGTATGAGCTCCTTTGTGTTTCTGAAGCCTCTGGCATACACCGAGGGTGTGGGTTTGCCTGGAATGTAGCATCAACCTGTAGAGAACAGGATTTTCCATGACCCAGTCATTGAATAAACTTGATATCTGCTTCTGCTGTTGAGAAAACATTATTTCTCCTTCAGGAATATCCACCCTCTTCATCAAGAACATCGTGTCATTCTTCAGGGTCACAGAATGCTCTACAGCCTACTTCCTGGTGTCCACCAAGGAGGAGATTAGTTGCATCTGAATTCAAGGAAGATTCGAGAGGGCTCACAGCTGCAGAATTCCAATCACTCTCAGTCTGACTGTGCTGATTTTAGAAAGACACATGGGGATCTGCCACAAGGAAGGCACTTTGCAGGGAGGCCTCAACCCCATGGCACACCCCTTCAGGAGGGCTCTTCTCCTTGTAACAGTCACTTAGCCACTTGTAGAAAGGCAACTCTTAGAAAATTTAAATGGGGACCAAAATACTAACCCTAACCAGTTTATTATCTCAAAGAATTGGAAAAACAAAGTTTTCGAATACTACGGGATTAGAAGAGTAAACAAGATATGCCTTTTCTTTGGAGCTACATATATGTATTAAAAATGGGATGTACAAAGAATTTTTTATCACATGGAGAAGTGCTTATGAGATGATATAACATTAAACAAATTAATGAAAGGCACACATTAAAAAGTATAACCAAACTTATACATTAGAGCTCAAAATTTAAAATGTGTAGAAAAATGATTGAGAGGAAATATGCCGAATTATAGGAATTGATGTGTTTCTTATAGGAAGCAGGATCCTGTGAGAAATTAAATTGCTTTATTGATTCTCTTGTAATTTTATAGTTTCCAAAAGTTCTACAGAGAGTGTAATGTAGGACCTTAGTCAGGAATAAACATCTCTTTAAATAAGCAGCAGAGAATTTCAAAGGAAGTGTGTGGTATGGGTTTATGTGTTTCTTTCAAGATCTAATATTTTCCACGTAGTGCTTCAGAAAAGATAAGGTAATTTCAACAACTTAACCCCATCATCAAGAGGGTGTTACTTAAGTACATTATGGGAGGTCATAGATAAACAACCAGTCAGCCTCTAAGCATCAGAAAATCTGTGATGTCCATTGGCCTGTGAGATGGTCTGCATTTCTTTGAAGGAAAAAAGCAGGTTTTAAAACACTAGAACCGAATCAAATCCAAATTTGAATAGAAAGATTAGAAAGGCTTATGCATGGGAAAAAGATTCAGGGTATTCAACGGTTAATTCTGACTATTTCTGAGTAATTTAAATTTACCTATAATTTAAAAAAAAAATTAAGGTCAGGTGTGTTGACTCAAACCTGTAATCCCAGCATTTTGGGAGGCCGAGGTGGGTGAATCACTTGAGACCAGGAGTTTGCGACCAGTATGGGCACCATGGCAAAACCTCATATCTACTAAAAACACAAAAAATAGCCAATTGGTGGTGTGTGCTTGTAGTCCCAGCTACTTGGGAGGCTGACGCATGAGAATCGCTTGAACCTAGGGGGTGGAGGTTGCAATAACCCAAGATCTCACCACTGCACTCCAGTCTGGGTGACAGAGCAAGACCTTGTTTCAAAAAAAATTTTTTTTGTATTTTAATTAGGAATCAAATAAGATAATTAAATGTAAACTTACACTTAATTTACTTTTTAAGCATTTTAAGAATTGGTATTCTAATTTTGTGTCGGTACATTTTAAGAATCAATAAAATTATTTTTAAAATCAAAGCAATTTTAAAGCTTTTACTTCATTAGACTCCCTGGCAAGAAAGCCCTGGGAAGATAGAAAGTTTGGAGGATGTCAGAGGGAAGTTTGGGAAAAGTAGAGGAATATATGGAGGGCAGAAGGAGTGAACATTAGGGAAACCCTCCCCTAGCTCAGTCTTCAGATACGCTGGTGGACTTCCCCACTCAGCCTGAGTCACCTTCGCTACTGACCTCATCTTGTCTTCTGACTGGATGCTCCTTTCAGGAAGCTGGTGTCTGGAAAACTTCTCAATTTTAGTATCAATTATTATTCAGAGGCTGAAAGGCAAGCCTCCACCTAAAGT
Source organism: Homo sapiens (assembly GCF_000001405.40). Classification (NCBI taxonomy): domain Eukaryota; kingdom Metazoa; phylum Chordata; class Mammalia; order Primates; family Hominidae; genus Homo; species Homo sapiens. The sequence continues at coordinate 5,531,324 of NC_000021.9, forward strand.
GCCAGTCTTGGGGCCTTGGTGAGACCCTCTGCTGGGGAGAAACTCCACTTCACTGGGGGGTTCTTATTTTATACAAAATGGGGACATGACGGGGCAGCCAAGCAGCAGAAAACCAAATCATGAGCAAGAACCAAACTCTTGGGGAGTTTGATTCTTTCTGCTACATAGTGCACAAGTTCTGGAGAGACTATAGGGGTGAAGAATAATAAAAGATTTTATTTTTGAATCATCTTGCGTGGTTGCCTGTTTGGAGTGCAGTAGCGTGATCATAGTTCACCGCAGCCTAGAACTCCTGGCTCAAGTGATCCTCTGCCTCAATATCCAGCATAGCTGAGACAACAGTTTGGAACTATCACACCTGGCTAAATGTTTTTAATGCTTCAAGTTTTTTGTATAAATGGGGTCTCACTATGTTGACAAGGCTGGTATCAAATTCCTGGCCTCAAGCAATTCTATCTCCTCAGCCAATCAATATGCCAGGAATACAGGCATGAGACACCGTGCCTGGCCAGCGCCTTTATAATGTTTTATTCTCCCAAGTTCTTCTCAAAAAAGTCAACATCCACCAAGTATCAGCTGAGATTTGAACTTCAACCCTGGGCTGAACTCAGTGGCAGGACTCTCCATTCCCAACAAGGGACAAATGGAGAAATAAATGGTGAGAGGGAGGAGCTTGATTCTGCCCATGCTAATTGGACACCTATTGTGTGCTAGGAAGACACACAGAGGTCAATCCAAATTCCAGCTCCAGCCACAGCAGGACAGCCATGGTGTAGAAGGCCTAGCCCAGAGGAGGGAGCCTTAGCAAGCGGAACACCCCTCCATGGAGTATTGACACTCTGTTATTTCAGTTATACTGAAAACTAGTAGAAGGTATGAGATATTGCACTCAACCCTTATGAGCAAGAAAATCCATTCAATCTTCTTTAATTTGGTTAAAACTAACCTTTACTAAAAGGCAGCAAACAATAATGCTTGTCTGTGAGAATTTAAAAACATCATAGCAAACCACTCCGTTCTCAGTTTAAGAGGAAAGGCAAAACGCTTGTGTGGGAGAATAAGAAAAAAAATATTTATGTAATACTTTGAGTTTCTATTGCTCCTAACCACCATTGCTACATAATTATTCCAAATTATAGCTCTTATTTACCCATCCTACTGTTAAAAAGTACCTCACTGATTCTGTAACCCCCAACTAATCCACCCTATAGTCCCTAGATGACCAGAGATGCCTATTATCCTCTGCTTTTTACTGTCACTCTCCCCAGTCCAGCAAACTCATTCCTCTTCCTGCATAAGCCTCCTGTGTTTCTGCCTTTTTTTATCTGCACCCTCTGCTGAGATTCTTTTGTCTTCACCCATCCCAAAGCCATCCATACTTCCACTGCTTGACTAGGGGTAATTATCTCATTCACCCAGCCTAATTTTTAATCTTACCTTCCTGCTCCCACCCTCTCTTCACTCTGAACAAGATTTTACTAGGTTGTTGTTATGTTCTGGGGTTCGGAGAATCTGACTAGTGTGAGTTTCCCAAGGTAAAGGTAATGCCTTAATAATTTTCACTTTAATTGCTCTTTGCGCAGTGTTTTGCACAAAATTTAACACAATAATTGCTCCCAGAGTAAATGTATAAATCTTTGCAATGTCTGATTTGACTCCCTTAGAGTTTGGATCTTTTCCCCTACAACCATCCAGAGTCCTGTCTAACCAAAGTGAAAATGCGGAACTCCCTCTTTCTGGTTGGCATCACTGCTGAGAACGGAAATAAATGCTGTCTATGCCAACTCCCTAGAACAAGTATAGGTTTCATCTAGACTAGTTTTCAAAATGAGGAAACAGGATGCAGACAAATACTTTATTCCCACTTTTTGGCCTGGGGTTTATTAACAAGGTGAAATTATACAGAAGAATAAATTAGTTTAGCTGAAAAAAGAAAAAATGTATAGTTAATGGAGGGAAAAAATTGAAAATGCAATAAAACCAGAAGATGTTCAGGAATTCAAAGTTGTTGATGCATAGAAATACTACTGGTTTTTGTACATTGGTTTTGTGTCCTAAAACTTTACTTGCTTATCCATTTCAGGAGGCTTTTCAAGTTTTCTCCAAAAGGAGTTTTGGAAAGACTTTAGCATTGTCTACGTAGTGACTCATAATGCAAATGGAGAAAGAGAATTCATTTTTTTTTTCTATTTGTATGCCTTTTTCTTTTCTATTGGCTGATTGCTGTGGATAGGACTTTTAAATCTAATTAAATTGTATTTGTTAGATTTTTGTATATTTTAATATGTCTCCAATTAATTTTATATCTGTATAATGTCCCCTTATAAAGGAATATGTAGCTGTTTTATTTAGTTATTTTATTACTGATGCACATTTGAGTTTTTTTCAGTTTGGAAAAGTACCAAATAATGCTGCTTAGAGCATTTGTCTGCATTGGAAAATATGCTGGCATTTCTATTGGGTGTATATACCTAGTAGCAGAGTTGCTGGGTCCTAGAGTGTGCTTATGTACATCGTGTATGTAAGGAGTTACTACTCAAGAGGTTTTGAATGCCGTTATAACAGTTTGCACACAGAATGGTATAAGAAAGTTCCAGTTGCTTGACATCATCACTAGTACTTAATTTTGTCAGTTTTCAAAAATGTGAATGATTGCATAGTGGCATTCAATTGTAGTTTTCATATGCATTGTTCTGATGCATAAGGATGTGGATATGTTCATCTACTTGTTGGCCCTTCGGTTCTGTATGTGGAACTCCTAGTCACATGTTTGTCAATTTTGTTCAATGTATTGCATCTTTGTTTATTAATTGATGGGATTTAGTTAAATAAACTAGATAAAAGGCTTTTGCCACATCAATATATGACAAATGTTGATTTCCACTTTGTTCTTGCCTTTCAGCTCTCCTGAAGGTTTTTTTTATGAAGAGAAGGTTTTAATTGTAATAAAGTCCAATTTGTCATATTTTTGTCTTGAGAATTAATGCATTTTGTGTCCCAAGAAATCTGGGCCTGTGCCAGTCATGGACATATTTATCTATGTTATCTACTAGAAATATTGCTTTCAGCTTTGACCTTAAAATTTAAAATCCACTTTTCATTGGAATTTGTTAATAATATAAGATAGGAGTGTTTTTTCTCACATAAATAACTGGTTGACTCAAGGCTATTTACCGAGAAGACTGTCTTCACTCCTCTTCTGTGCCTGTTTTGTAATATACAAAATGTCCAAATGTGTGAGTCTGAGTTGGACTCTCGAGTTTTTCTAGTTTTCTTTGTGCCTATTTTTGCATTACTACCATAGATAGCTTTTATTACTATAGCTTTAATCTAAGTCTGAATATATGTCATTTTAAGCTCACAAACTTTGTTATTCTTCAGGACAGTTTTTACATTTCTTCGATTTTTTATATGTATTTAAATTTTTTAAACTGATTAGACAGTTTCCACAAGATTTCTGCCAAAATATTGTATTGTGAAAATGGAAATCTATGAATCAATTTAGGGAGAAGTTACATAGAAACAAAGCAAAACAAAACACTAATAACATCCAAAACAAACTTAAAGAGAACACCACAATAAGAAAAGAAATTCCCAAATTGGAATAAATATTTACAACTCATGAAATTACAAATGGGCTCGCATTTCCATAAAGGGCACTCTCTCTCTCCCTCTCTCTCTCTCTTTTTTTTTTTTCCACAGAGACTCACTCTGTCACCCTGTCTTGAGTGCAGACGTGCAATCTCGGCTCACTGCAACCTCTGCCTCCCAAGTTTCAGCAATTCTTCTGTCTCAGCCTCCTGAGTAGCTGGGGCTACAGGCTTGTGCCACCATTCCCGGCTAATTTTTTGTAATTTTAGTAGAGACGGGGTTTCACCAGGTTGGCCAGGCTGGTTTTTAACTCCTGACCTCAAATGATCCGCCCGCCTCAGCCTCTCAAGTGTTGAAATTACAGATGTGAGGCACCACAGCTGACCTGTAAAGACCTCTTAAAAATTAGTTAAAAAACAAACAAAACAGAAAAAGAGAAAGAAGAAACAGCCACTCAGTTAAAAGAAAAAGATAAAGAAAAAGAAAAAGAAAAGAAAAGAAAAAAAGGCAAAAGACATTATTTTACAGGTCTAGTGCCCTGTGCCCCTCACTGTAATGGGGGTGGATATGGGCTTCACAGGACATGAAATTCATCAAACAGTTGCTGGTTGAAGGAGGGAAAATCTTGCGGGACCAGCCTCCAGAACAGAGCCTGTGGTGCACTGTTTCATCCCGTAGCCCTGGTAAGAAAACCTGGCTGTGCCGTGCTTTATGTTCACCTGCATTTGCCCTGTTCAGAGGCCTGAGCTACCGTGGACACAAAAGTCTGCTCAAACTCTCCCCATCCCAATATTCTATCTGGTATTGAGCATGACACCCTGTCTTCACTGAGCATGTGTTTATGCAGTTTTGTGACCACCTATCCATTTTACAACAGGAAGACTGAGGCCCCCAAAAAAGGCAAAGACTGGTCCATATCCCAGAAATTGGGAAGAGCACAGAGTATTAGGGAGGGATCCAGCTTCCAAGGCCTTGCATGCACCCCACCCATCAGGTTTGCTTTGGAAATGAGTGCTCTTAAGTCCTGGAAAACCCTGTGGTCTACTTTCTACCTGGGCTTTCTACCCTTCCTTATTCTCACATAGGTGTGCAGCCATGAACACACAAACACACCACACACACACACACACACACACAGGCTTCTAAGGTGGAGATCATGGAGGTGAGGTTAGAGAAGAGGAAACCAGAGAAGTGACAAAACGGGAAGAAATAGAAGAGGCAGCTTTGCCATGAGGCAGAGGCATCCACTCCCCCAGCTACATGACCAGGAGCTGACAGCATGTGATGAAGGATCCTCCAGGTTCCCTGGGTTCTTCCAGGCCTGGGGATCTTCCCAGCTGTTTCAAGAGGACAGGACAGGGGTTGTGACTCCCACCTCTATGGGCACCTGGAACTAAAATGAGCTATGCCCTCCCCCAACCACCCCATGTGATATAAAGTGAGGCTACGGGAAAGAAAACCTTCGTTTTCTCTCTCATAAATAGGGGTACTCAAAAGGAATAATACCAAGAATTCTAGATACTCATAAGTGTCTGCTCCCCTTGGCTCTTCATTGGTAACTCACTGTGCTTTGAGACTCTGGGAAGAGGCTTTTCAGGTTCTAGAGGTCCTTCAGAGAAGAGAGAGGCCTAGAGATGTGGGCAGATGAGGACTTGGAATAAAGCAGAATGTGACAATGCACTGGGCTCTGGAGTGTGGGGCCCAGAAAAAATACTAGATTTTTGGGCTGTCCTTGAGGTCCTCATTCAGAAGTGGAAGAAAATAATGTCTCTGAATGCTGTTAAAGTGTTTAATGAGTGCACAGCACACTCAAAGAGGCTGAGGAAAATAGGAATCAAGGGAGGTTTCCGAGGTTACTTTTATGGCCCTTGGAGTCTTCAGATACTGCTCCTTTTCCCAGGGGTCCTTGAATAGCCACTGCCTTGAGAATTCCCCAATGCAGGTGCCTGTTTTGTGATGCTTCCACCTGGGACTTCAGGGCTAGTGGAGGCCTCTAGGTGGCGGCAGACCCCGTGTTTCTTATGCCCGCTGGGCTTTACTGGAGCAGCTGGAGCCGGGGGAGAGACAGGCTGAGGTCCTGCAGCTCCTGTTATCATTCATGATCTCCACATTATTGGGTGGCCAAAAGTGGGAAGAAGGGCTTTGTGATTTTCCATGTTATTTTACTCAGCGACTCTTCCCCTAGCACTCACCATGTGGCAGCTACCTTGGTAGGTTCACCTTATGGTACCAAAAATGATTATGTTATCCCTGCCTCCCCGCGGGGAGCCCACAGTCTGAGGACGGCAGGACAAAAACACTAAAGCAAGTACATGTGAAAGAAAAGAGCATTTTATAATGGAAATAAAGTAGAATGTTGGGAGGGAGGGCTGGGGAGAGGTTGCCTGGAGGGGACATGAATGCCTCCCTGAGGTGACATTATGTTGTGACCAGAATGACAACAGAGAGCCAGTCCTGCGCAGGTGTGCAAAGTGTGTCAGGGAAAAGCCACTCTTTGTGAAGAGACTCACAGGCACAGGTGAGTTCAGCAGAGGAGGTTATAACGGGACAATTGTGGCGGCAGGCAGCCTGAGAAAGAAAGGAAAAGAGGGGAGGGAGGATCCTGGGGACTGAAAGAGGAGATTAGTCATTTGCCCCTCTCTGACAAAATTTCCCTGAATTTTAGCACATGTTGACAACAAATACTATCTCACAACTTTTGTGAACCAGAATCTCGATATAGCTTAGTTGGGTGCCTCTGCCTCAAGGTCTCTTACGAGGCTGGGGCTGTGATTTCAACTGAAGCTGGATTTGAGGAGAGATCAGCCTTCTATCTGCCTCATGGAAACTGGCACGATTCAGTGTGAACTGAGAGCCCGAGTTCCTTCCTCTCGATTGGCCTGGGCATCTCCTCAGTTCTCTATCATGTGGGTCTGTGCCTAGAGCATCTTAGGACACTGCAGATCACTTCCTCATCTTGAGGATTACAATACAGAGATGAAAAATGAAAGAGATAGACAGACATATGCAGAGAAAAAGAGAGAAAGGGAGACAGAGAGATTGAGAGAGGACACACAGGACAGAGCAAGTAAGAGGAAAATAATAGCTGTTTTAGAAATATAACTTTGGAAGTTGCAGAAGACTATGTGATTCCCCACCATGTTCACATACCAGAACCTTAATCCCCAGTGTAATGGCCTTAGCAGGTCAGAGGTAATTAAGTCCGAAGCATGAGGACCTCATGATAGCGATTACGGGCTTTGTAAAAGAAACCGCAGAAGGCTGTCTCTCCCTCTCTCTGCTAAATGAGAAAACAACCTGAAGTCTGGAGTTTGAAACTCAGAAGAGAGTCCTTACCAGACCCCAACCATGCTGGAAGCCCAATCTCAAATTTCTGGCCTCTAGAACTAATGTTTTTTATTTATAAGTTGCCTAGTCTATGTTTTTTGGTATAGAAGTCTGAACTAAGTCAGAAGTGATAACCTATCACATTTGTTGTTTTCCCTTTGACAGAAACTAGAACCAGGTCCCCAAAGAGTTCATCCAATGACTAACAGAAATTCTTCAGTTTGCAGAATGACAGATAAGAAAAGATACAACTTGTTGAAAGAATGAAATTTATTCCACTTATGAGACTTCTAAAAAGTGGCTAAAATTGGTCGGAACCAATATGGTCAACTGGAGTCTGTGTGAAATAAGCTCACTGATGTCAGAGCCCAAATTTCCATCACATGTTTTGTACTAACTGTCCCCAAATTTGCACATGTGATCTGTGTGTAGCAAGAAAAAATAGTTGTTCATGCCCAGTGATTTTCCATACATTTTTCCTTTAAGCAATTCCGTACTAATCCAGAACCTACCTCCTAAACCTTTCTGAGAATATTACTACCTTTAAGTAAGCACAGGGAAACAGACTTGAGCTGGAATCCCATCTCTCTGTTAGAAACCCGGTGTTATAGTACCTGCTTCTGAGGCACTGAGAGGTGAGCTGCGTTTTAAAATAACAGAGTCACTCACAACTTAGTGTTGTTGTGAGACTTTGTTGGGGGTGCCCACCACATAGGCTGAGATGAGGCATATACATATGATTCTAAATATAATGCACAGCACTGGAATATTTAATGCCAGAAGACAGTATCTGATTTTCTTTTAATTTCAACCTCTTCTGCTGTGGAATGGAAAATTAAGGCCATATATATAAAATATATATCTTTTATGTATAAAGATACATAAACTATGTATCTTTTATATATAAAGATATATATGTATAAGTTTATATATTATATATAGTTATATATAATTGATATATATATAGTTATATATAATATATAAATAAAAATATTTATATACATTATATATATATATATTTTTTGAGACACAGTCTCGCTCTGTCACCCAGGCTGGAGTGCAGTGGCAGGATCATGGCTCAATGTAATCTCTGCTTCCTGGGCTCAAGTGATTCTTACACCTCAGCCTCCTGAGTGGCTGGGATTACAGGCATGCATCAACACATCTGGCTAATTTTTGGATTTTTCGTAGAGAAGGGTTTTTGCCATGCTGGCCATGGCTGGTTTCAAACCCCTGGCCTTAAGTGTTCCAGCTGCCTTGGTCTACCAATCTGCTAAGATTACAGCAAGAGCCACTGCATCCAACCGATTTTGATTCATTCTATCTCATATATCACCAAAGACTGTTTTTGGAAGTTGATGTTAGCATAATCCCATTATGCATACTTCAGGGCTGGGGAGACCTGAAGCACACAGTCATTTTCATATGGTCACAGAAATGAAAAGGAAAAGAAGATTTTAACCCAACTCTGTTCTCTCAAACCTGGGGCCCTGGCTGCATTTAGAACTTTTTGGGAATTAAGGGACATAATTGTGTTTGCATAACTGTTTACAGGTAAAGAGTTGACATGGGAGAGGAGGGTGAGCAATCAGCAGCCCAGCAGGGACTTTGCGTAGATTTATGGAGGAAAAGGGCTCAGGGGATAAAACCTTGAAGAAGTTAACAGACTTCCCTTGTGACAAAACCTAACAGAATTTAGAACTTTGGGAACCAGAAACCCACATTCTAGAGACAGCCCTGTATCTAGCTAACTTCTTGGGAGATGCTTGAGAGGGCACTGTGTTCTCATTGTGTTATATTCCCAAGCTGTTGCCTGAGAAAGGCTCAAAGTGAGAGCCTTTTCTGACAGTATACATACTGGCTCAGCCTACATCCTTGATACCACTGGCCATTCGACAAGAGGCACCCACAGGTAACACAGTTTAGCCCAGGGCAGGTCCGTCCATGCCAGGCCACCTGTGTCATCTAATCTGGGCAACCCGACCCTGCCTACCATTACCCTGTGTTGCAAGGGGAGCAGGAAAGGAGGGGGCTTTTCCTCACAGGGGCAGGTTTTAAGACACAGGAACCCTGGTGGGTCTGTCATGTTCATACCCAGGTCACGGTTGGTGGAATAAAAAGTTGTGAGTTGCGGACCAAGTACGTCTACTCAGATGTGAATCCCAAGGCCTTAAGCTGTCCTCGGGTTTCCTCATTGGCTGGGGGTCTATGCAGATACTCCTATGTTCCTGATCTAGGAAACAGAATTTCTAATGCAGATGTCACCTGGTGGTAAAAACAAAGAAGACAATTAACTTTTTTCGCTGCTGGGAACACTCTTTGTAGAGCTGCATTAAAATCAGTGAGCAGATATTTGATGGGTTCAAGTCCCCCATCTCCTTGGACAACTGGCAGGTTCACCACACCCCCCAAGCATGGCATACAATGAGTTATGTTGAGAGCAGGCACATGGGGTTCTCTACAGAGAGGGACCTGACAAAACCAGGATGGGTCCAGGATCCAGACCCAAATATGGAATTTCTCTGCGCTTTCTCCTAGGGGATTTCCATGAGTGACCCTCAGATCTACCCCCCAAAAATCTAGCCTTAACTGGTCCCAGTGGCAACTTGGTTAAGTGTAAAGTCCCTTTTTACATTCTTGTAGAAATATCAGAGAAGGCCTTTGTGTTGTTTTTACTTTACACTAGGCTGCATTTATTCATGTTACTACAGTTTGTATAGTTTTAATTATTCCCCTCTGATATCATCTGTAGCAAGCAGGTTCATGGTACTGCCAGACTTTCTCCAAGACTTGAAAGCCACCACTATCACTAATACTCTACAAAAATAGGGAAGAGTTTACATGAAAAAGGGGTTATATTGTTTCCTACATTTGTCTGCAATGTGTCATCTAAGAGAACTCATCCCAGTAGCCCATCAGGGCAGAAGTGGTGCCCTCACATCTCTTTGTAATGTTCTATAATGGGGGTCACTTCCCAGAGTGGTTTAGCCTTTCAATGGCTATTATTTCTGATCAAAATGGAATAAAACTAGAAATGAATAACAGAAGAAAACAAAAATAGCAACATATATATGGAAATTAAACAACTCACTTTTGAGCATGCTCATGTTTAAGGGTTGTAAGACTTAATATTATGAATAATGCTTATGATGTCTAAAGCGAGTTACAGATTCAATGCAATCCCTTTTAAATTAAGAACTTTTTTTTTGAAATAGAAAAAGGAACCAACAAATTATATGGAATCTCAAGCGACCATAAAGAGCCCCAAAATGTTTAAAAAAAACAATGTTAGTGACCTCACCTTTTCTGATTTCAAAGCACATTACAAAGCAACAGCAATGAAAACAGTTTGTTTCTGGCATAAACACAGACAATTTTTCCAATAAAACAGAAGGTAGCACACATGTAAACCTCACACATATGAGCAAATAGCTATTTGCATACCAATATTCATTGCAGCATTATTCAGAAATGCCAATAGGTGAAAGCAACACAAATTTTCCTCATAGAATGAATAAATAAATAAAATTTGTAATATAAAACTAATGGAATATTACTTAGCTTTTAAAGGCAGAAAATCTTGTACCATCCACAATAAAGAGGAATCTTGAGAACATAATGCTAAGTAAAATTAGTCACAATAAAACAGATACTCTATGATTCTACTTATATGTAATATCTAAAGTATTGAAACTTAGAACCAGAAAATAGAATGATTTTTATCAGGAGCCAGGTGGTAAGGACAATGGGTAGTTGTCATTTCATGTGTACTGAGTTTTAGTTTTGCAAAAGAAAAAATTTTACAAATATGTTGCTTAACAATGTAAATACACTTAACATGACTGAACTGTATAAGAAAAAATATTAAAGATTCTAAATTTTATGTTATGTATTTTTACCACAATCGAAATTAAAAATGACACCCAAGGGCCAAGAGTGATCACTCATGCCTGTAATCGCAGCACTCTGGGAGGCTGAGGCATGCAGGTTACTTGAGGCCATAAGTTCAAGACCAGCCTGGCCAACATGGTGAAACCCCAGCTTCATGAAAAATACAAAAATTAGCCAGGCGCGGTGGTGCAGAACTTTAATGCCAGCTACTCAAGAGGCAGCAGCTGGAGAATTGCTTTAACCTGGGAGGTGGAGGTTGCAGTGATCCAAGATTGTGCCACTGCACTTTGGCAACAGGGTGAGAGTCTGTCAAAAGAAAAAAAAAAAAAAAAAAAGACACCCGAAGGGAGAGAGTTACAAAGTTTCTGAAAAATTATCTTCAAATCACATAAATCTTTCCTTCACACTAAGATAATATAAACAATAGATGTTGAAATTAAGACAATTTCCATGATTACTCACTTAGACAGAATAAATTATTGGCCATCAAATAAGAAGAAAATATAAAAGTCATAAACAAAATAGGGGCAATATTTATACAGGCAAACAAACAGTTAAATCATTGTATTAACAAAAGACATAGGGATGGTTCATATTTGACTTCTGCCCCACACTGTCTTAATGCATACAGAGTTGAATATTGTTATACAATATTATATTATACAAATTAAAACTTAAAACAATAAACTAATATAAGGTGCCCTACCCTAAAACATGAAACACAGAAATGTAAAATTGCAAAACAAAGTTAAAATAAACATTAACCCCCAAATTCTTATTTGAATAATGAAATTCAAAATCATAATAAATAGGTAGAAAGTAAAAACACAATTAACTGATGTGAGACAGCCTACTCTAAAAAATACAGAAACATAAAATTATAAAACATAATTAAGAGAAACTTTAATCCATAAAATCCTGAATAAACATAGTGTCCAAATGAAAAAGAATCCCAGGTAACTACAATTTTTAACTCTTCCTGTGAATCTATGAAAAGTATGAATTTTGAATTATTTGGATACAGTTAGGGCAACAACATTTCAGAGAAAACACATTATAATTAATACAAAGAGCTGTGATGAGAAAGTTTTAAGGAATAAGCATTTAAGTAATACTAGAGAAAGTTTTAAATTATGCTACTGATGCATTGCTGCTTTTCTTACACAAAACGATAAGGCTGTAATCTAGCTTTTAATTGAAAAGTCTTACATTTCTAAATATGGTAACAATATAAATATTGTAAATACAGTATAAAACATTGACATATAAAATAAAAATTGGAAATAAATTGTACTATTAGTCAAATAAAAGTTGGGAAAACTGGAAGAAGATGCTAATAGTAACATTGTGCCTAGAGTCAATTAAACATACAAGCCAAATATTTTAATAAATTATAAATTATATAATTTATACATAATATATACATTTGAGCATGCTATTTTACAACTTCTGAAAGGAAATTACAGACAAATGTGACACATGATAATTCAGAAAGTGAAAACACAGTCATAGTAATCTTCATATTAAAGAAGACAGAATCATAAAATACTAAGTGAGAAATAAAGTAATAATTGTGAATTCAATATATGTTGAACAATATTCTAATTTCCCTTACGGAAAAAGTTTTTGTAAGAAATCAGTAAAATGAGTACATACAATAAACCATCCTACAGTAGAGGCTGTTGGCATATAGAGTTTACATTTCTATGATTAGGTCCTACTAAGAAAAAGGAAATTTTAAAATAAAATACTTAGATTTTCCTATTTAATAAGATAATTTTTGCCTATAAAGTTTTTCAGTCTAATTTTCTTGTAGAATTAGGTTTTAGCCATCGTAAAACTTGACATTATGAAGCAGAAAACAGGTGTCATCTGTCTCTGGTGTTCCTGGAATTTCTAACCCAAATGCCAATTCCTCCACAACTCCCTTCACACACTTCTGAATTGAAGCACAACAGATTTATTAAAATTGGCATAACAGCGGTCTCCAGAAATGTGCAGAGATTTTCCCAGATCCCCAAAATCAATGACAAACTATTCAGATCATTTAGGTTCTCACAAGATTCTGGGAGGACTTTGGCTTTCAGTGTGAACGCACTGGAAGATTCTAAGAGAGAGGGAGAGAGAGAGAATGTGTGTGTGTTGAAATCAGAACCCCACCTTATGTGTTTATTGTGGAAATTGAAAATGAAAGCCTAAAGTTGAAAATTAAAATCACACATGATAGCACGTTGCAAACTGTTTTCTGTGCTAGATGGGTCGTTCTAGGGTGTAGGACCCTGGAAACACCGTTTTCCCCTCCTTCCGGAAAGAGCTACTCACACTGCTCAAAGCCTGCATCCACATGTACCATGTCGAAGACCAGCTCAAGAGCCTGGACCCATATGCCACCTTCAGCAGGGTTGACTGCAGCTTCTTGTTCTTCCTGAGCATCTTCTCCAATGGTGACCTGAGAGTTGCGGGAGGCATTGGGGCCAGGATTGAACAGAGGAAAAAGGAGCACGGAGGCCAGGTGCTGAGGACCAGGCCATCTCACCTGGAGAGTTCTGGCCCTGAGACATCCAGACCAGCATGATGTTTAGGTGCAGACAGCTGGCCCTGGGTGGCCCTGTGCTGATCACCGGCCTCAGCCCCTCAAACAGTGGGAAATGGAAGAATGGCTTGGAAATGGGCCCTGTCGACAGTGTGTCACCTGAGCACATTCTCCCAGGGGCCCAAGAGGGGCCATCGTGTCTCTAGAACCAGAACTGGAAGGTGAAACTGCCAGGGGGAACAAGGAAGAGGGTCCTCAGTTGGGTGGAGGGTCTCACAGCAAGACGCCTGGCTTAATCAAGCTTGGCCATTCCTGAAGCACGTTCAGTGACTAAAAGTGCCTACCATGAGCAGCTGGAACACACTCTCTGAGAGCTGCAAGATGCATGGGGACCTCAAGTACCTGTTTGTAATTACAGCCAAGGACCAGCAGGCAGCATTGCTGCATCCACATGGGCTTTTGCTGGAACCAGTAAGTCTCTGCCAGCCCCTCCCAGGCTCCTGGGATGCCACTTGTTCTGGGTCTGTGGACAGATAACCAGGACACTTACTCAGTGAAGCCCATCGCTCAACCCCAGCCCCACCATACCCTGTCTCCTATGCCATTCCTCATCCCAGAAGGAAAGGCAATGCCTTTGTCCCACAGCCCCTGCCTTGTGTCATCTCATGTGGGGGTATGGAATGAACCCGTCAGCCTAAACTCCAGTCCTTCTGCCTGAGGAATCTGTCCCCGCTGTCTTAGTCGCCCTCTAGGGAGCTGTCAGTGGGATAAAGAGCAGCCCTGGAAGAGAGGCCCACCTTCTTCTGTTTGACTTCAGGACAGCCTTTCAGGGCAAGAACCCAGAGCAGATGGAGGCCTCACAGAAGGCTGTGGCAGGGCTCTCGGCTTGGTGGGCTAAGCATCTCCCTCTCTGATGACTGCCATGGGGCCCACAACCACTCATTCAAGAGGGTCACCACCACATTGCAGGTGTTCAGCTGGACGGTTCCCCAGGCAGAGCCTGCCATGGACTGCATACACACAGAGGATGCACACCTTGAAGTTGGACAATGAGGAGAACATTCCTGAAGAGGTGCATGCAGCCTGGCCCTGCCCTCACTGGGAACCCCCTTCCATCTGGGTACTAGACAGAATTCTGTGCACTTTTCTGGAGGCTCCATGCTGGTCTGTTCATTTGGAAGTTTGATGCTGTCCGTGAGGAAGTAACAAAAGAGATATCTCAGAGCAGGTTGTGGGGCACAGGCTGAGAGATTTTCTCCCTCCCTAGTCCCTCTGCAGACACGGGGCTGGAACAAGAACCTGTGGATAATGAGGGAACTTCTCTTCGAGAACCGGCCTGAGCAGCTGCTTCAAGAAAGAGCCACATTAAAGTGCCTATAGCCCCTGATGAGGGAATGGTAGCCTCAGGCCCGCCTGCCATGTGTGAGCAGGTTTTCTTGCTATCAGGATGAAAGCAAAGAAAGCTGGAATGAGCCCAGCCCTCTCAGGCACCTTGAAGACTGTTGGGGTTCCTTCCAGCCCTTCTAGCCTTATGCTTTTTGGCAGGCCACTCAGGCACCTTTTTCCAGCCTCTGAGACTTCCATGCTCTGGAAGGAGAGGGTCCCACTTTTCACTAGGCTATGGGGCCAGGCCCATCCAGCTCCCGGCTTCCACTAACAACCATGGGGCTCTCACCTGGGCACACACTGCCCAAACATGGACCTTCTAAGGCAGAAGATCATGTGTCTTGCAGTTCCAGCTTTCTAGGGCTTAAAAGTTATCAGTGCTGTTATTAAGATAGGGAAGTGAGAAAGGAAAACTTGCTGTAAAAGTTTCCCATAATCTTACCACGGAGATCATCAGCACAGATGACAGCACAGGTAGGGCTGCTGGGGAGGCTGAAGGAGAGTGTCCAGCCTGTTCTGCCAGCTGGTCCTTGCCAGGGGTGTCTCGTGACCCAGTCCCTTAGAGAAGCATGCAGATATCTCAGCAAGTATCTGGAAGGTGCAGATCAGGGCAACCCAGCACTACTGATGGTGGAGTGGGCCTACCTCCCATCAAGCTGTGTCTCCACAGCTGACCCTTGTAACCAGGAGGTGTTTTACAACATGTGCAAGGCAGTGAGCTCCATCAGCTGTGTGGCATTCAACACTCACTTCAACTCGGACATCTCACCAGAAAGCAGTGGGGACTGGCCAATGCAGAAGCCTGCAAAGTGGAACAGAGCGTCATGGGGTGGGGGATGTGGGGCCTGCCTGCTCATCTGAGCACTGCTCCCTGAGGGTGTGATCTGCAGGCTTCCTGAAGGAGGGCTGTGAGCTCTTCTGCGAGGCCCTGAGCCTGTGGAACATAGCTGAGGCCAAGCCCATGGGGATTTGTGTCTACTTGCACCTCCTTGCTCATCTCAGTACACTACAGGTGACTGTGCCGAGGTGGGCCTTGAGCATCCCCTGGGCTGTGTCAGCAAATGGCTCTGGGCCTGGCCTGGCATTGAGGGATGGCAAAAAAGGAGCCTGGGGTTGCATTGTCATCCCCTATGGTAGCATAAAATGAGAGAGTCCAGACCTGCAGGACTGGAACCCTAACAAAGGGGTTAGGAGACTGCTCACTTTCCCTCAGGAACCCATGTGGAGGAGCTGAGGGAGGTTAAGGAGACCCTAGGGACTCACTTGTTCTGTCTGGGCTTCCCCCTGCTCCATCGTTTGATGACCATTTTCTGGGAAGAGCTCAGGAACCTCCTGTGCTCTAGTGAGACGGGGCCTCCCCTCACAGGGTATTCTGAGACTGTGAGTGAGAAGCTAACACAGTGCCTTGCAATACTCATGGGAGCTGTCATCCTCTGTGACCATCACGTGGCCTTGTAGTGTTCAGACTGCCTGGCCTGCCTGGGGTTTGGTGAGGCTGTTTTGTGGTCAGGTGCTTTAGAAGCTCACTTTCTCTGCAATCAAACAGTGACTGTTTTCATGTCTGTTTATGGGTTTAAAAAATCCTAATATTTCCTTTATAGTAGTTCACCTTGTATGTGTTTATTTGTATAAATTTTATTAGAGTAAAGAGAGCTTAAGACAATAGCATTTTAAGGTCTTAATGAGGCATAGACTTTCATGTCACAACAGCTAATGTTGACCTCCTTTTGCTGCCTTTGTGTAAATTACACATAAAAAGTGCAGCCAGAGGTGACTAGAGCTGAGCTGCTTGGGCTTGCTTGCTGGCCTGCAGTCAGGTGGACTCTGGCTGTGAGGCAGTGCCCACCCTGGATCTACATCCCCCACCCCCTCTCCTTAGTCCCTGAGTAACCAACAAGGCCGTGCTAATGAGAGGGCGAGTGATGGGCATCGGGCACCCCCATATTATCCGGGAAGATTTGAATGCCATCTGGGCTGGAGCTGTTGGGATTAGGGGCTGAGGCTGTCTTGGCTTGTCATGGTGCCACCCACAGATGTGCCTGCCCTGTGCTGCTTCTCCAGAAGCCGGCTGCCCATGGCCCTGAGCCTGTCACACCATGCTTGCTACCTCATGCTGCTTGTGTTTGAAAAACCCATCCCGAGATGACGCTGCTGGATGTAAGTCCTGAAAAGGGGGCATCACCTTTGTCCTGGGGGATTAGGAGCTGACCAGATTCCTCTTGACTCCCTCCCAGAACAAGTGGGGCAGGTGCTGCAATTAATGTTGCCCCCTAGAAGATGTGTTTGCACTGGCTGAGCAAATATACGATGCAGAGACCTAAATGAAGACACGTGAATGGGGTGTGTGGACATCAGTTAGTAGCTGGGAAACAGGTGCCTCTCAGGCGTCTCGTGTTCCAGCAAGTGTGGAATATGCCTGTGCCCATGAGTGTAGACATCTGAAGTGTATACATTTGGCTGCTGCTTTTGCTGCCACTATTCCCAGGCCCAACCTGGCTTAAAGTCCAGGTTTTAAGTAAAAAGTAGGAGGCTTTTTGCCATACAGCTACTTGAGAGGCTGAGGTGAAAGCATCACTGGAGCCTAAGAGATTGAGGCTGCAGTGACCCATGATTCAGCCACTGCACTGACACAGTGAGACCTGCGTGTGCCCTTCTACAGAGAATAGCTCTGGGGCATTTGGGGATCCCTACAGTCCCGGACCCTCCCTGTCCCCTGCTGCCTGTGCTCCTTTCCTTGCCTGCTGTCAGAGCCTAACATGGAGGCGGTTGCCACCCTGTGAGCCTGAGGGAGCTGTGTCTGACTGGAACTTCTGTCTGAGGTTTTGCGAAGTCTTACTTATGAATATGGTCTGTCCAGATACCTTGTTTCAAAGGAAGTGAGCATGAGCTAGCAAGTGTAGCCACCCCACAGCTGATAAACAACTTTGTCTTGTTTTTAAATCATCAATCTTCATTTCACATTGGAATAAAGTAAGTGAAACCTGCTACCCGAGCCTCGCCCGTGTGTTCTGTAACCCAGACTCATGTGGTTGTGTGGGCTGTTGTCAGAAATGTTATAAAAAGGTTATGCATAAATTAGATCAAATATAAAATTATGCTTATAATGTCACTTGAGTGGGAGGTAAGAGGGTAGAGTCACAGGAAATCTGTTGGGGTTTACACCCCTGCTACTTACCAAGCTCATGAGAGTGTGGCACTGGTGACCATCACCTGACATTGGTGACAGAAGAGAAAAGGTCGAAGTGAAGGCCAGGTAGGAGAGAGGTGCCAGGCTGTGGGGCCAGGCCCTGCGCATGCTGGGCCTGTTAGGTCACTGAACATCTAACTACCCGGGAACCAGCTCTTTTCACATCATTTGAGGTAAGACGATGGGGGAGCACTCTCCAGAAGTCACACTGCGCTGGGAGAATGGAGGAGAGTCTACATACCGCCATCTTAGGGTAGGTTTTAGATTGAGCTGAACTGTCTTGGAGAGCTAATGAGATGGGAGGAAGACAGTCCCCCAGGTGCACCTAACAGCCAGAGCCTATGAAGTTAGGGGGGTTGTGTGGGGGTGGCCTTTCCCTATAAGAGGAGGAGCTTAAAGCTCTTAAAGCTGGTGGCTGCTGCTCTGCCATCCCTCTACAGAGCAGTCAAGTCCTCAGCTGCAAGAATATCTGAATGTCTTTTGGAGTGTTAGAGTCCTCTGTGTCTTAGAAATTTTGAAAAGAAAAACAAATCTCAATATTAATGTTGATTAGTTTCTCTGAGCCAATTGGGGAAAATAAACGTCCTTCACCTCAAAGGTTTAAGTGACACCGAAGGGTAGCCACCAGTGTCTCGGCCACTGAAGCCTCATGCATGCTCTCACTACCAGTTTGATTTGCAGCCCCATAGTTGTGTTGTACTAAATATTCTTTCCTCTGGCCTTGTCCAGTGAACACGGTTCACATGGCTAACACCACTTCTTGAGATGCGAGCACCATGCAAAGCTGAGAACGGATTGGGTTTTGTGACCATTGTGCCTCCTCCTCACCTGAGAGGCCCATTTTTCCTGGTTGATTCATTAAGTGTATTGGTGCTGTCAGTCGCCTCTGGACAATTGAAATGACAAGTGGCTGTTGATTCATAAAGAAAATGAAGGCTTTAGATGTGAAACCCTCGTTTTCTCTTGTCCTTCTCTTAGGTGAAAGATTTTATTTTTTTCAAAAGGCTACATACTGGTATCCCAGCAGGTGTAGTGTGAGAACTGGCATATGTTAGGCTATGGTGTCAGTGTGGATGGGCAATTCTTCAAGATGGAAAACCAAGTCTCACTGAGTTGCTGGAGCCACACTGACCTTTCTCCACATCCCCCACCATGGGCTTTCACTTTTATCCTGTGCTTGAATTTTTTTCACATACAAATTCTTTATACACACACACAGACACACACACACATATCTCACTCTGTCAATGCAGTGGCTGAATCATGGGTCACTGCATCTTCAAATTCTTAGGCTCCAGTGATGCTTTCAAATCAGCCTCTCAAGTAGCTGGGACTACAGGCATGCAAAGCTACACCCAGACAATTTTTAAATATTTTTCTAGAGACTGAGCCTACTTATGTTGCTCAGACTCGTCTTGCACTCCTGGGATCAAACGATAATCCCACCTTGACCACCCAAAGTGTTTAGATTACAGGTGTGAGCTAGCACTCTCAGCAAAAATATATTTTAAAGAACCGTTACAACCAAATTATGAGTTATCATTATGCCACTGCCCTCCACCCTGGGCACCAGAACAAGACCTTGTATCCAAAAACTAAGCAAAACTAAACAAGAACAAAAAAAAAAAAACTTATAAATAAACTTTGAAGATTGTGTCATCTGTGTCCTTCCCTGCCCTCCAAGCTATCAATGTTAAATATAATGGTTATTGAGAAAATGGTTAGATATTATTAAGAAATTTCTATATATCTTCCAGCTGAGAATAGGTATTCTGTTGTGGCCCAAATATTTTCTCACCGCTACCTTCAGGGTCTAAACTAGCAAATCAGGACACCTGCAGAGGACAGTTGGCCGTTTTCAAATAGAAAGAGAAATACCCCCGTTCATGAGAGTAATCCAGTGATTTTCAAAAAGACAAGTCAGACTGACATGCAGCGCAGTCAGGCCACAATTACCCTGGAATAATCACTTCACACAGAATGGTTGAGGAGACTTTCTAAGATGAGCAAATTTGGGCAGCATAATCCTTGCTTATTTATTCCCAGCCCCCACTGCCCGCCTGATTCCTAATGGCTACCCTACAATGTGGTCAGCAGTGGGATGTAGCGTGGTGAGAGAGGGGCTCAGGGACGGGATGAAGGTCTTTCCTGCATTATCAAAATGCAGGTTAAAAAGTTGTTAAAAAGATGTCCAAATGTTCTAATTCCTACTGTTAAATAGCTGCTAAGATGCATTATACAACAGACCCAGGTAAGGGAAGGAGCATGTGCATTTCAAGTCTCAGCTCACTTCTTAATTAGCTGTGATACTCTGGGCAGGTGACCCCAACTATACGAGCCTGTGTGCCTGTCAACCCAAAACAATCCTAAGCAAAAACACCAAAGCTTGGGGCATCTTGCTACCCGACTTCAAACTATACTACAAGGCTGCAGTAACCAAAACAGCACAGTACTAATACCAAAACAGATATATAGACCAATGGAACAGAACAGAGGCCTCAGTAATAACATCACACATCTACAACCATCTGATCTCTAACAAACCTGACAAAAACAAGCAATGGAGAAAGATTTACTACTTACCAAATGGTGCTGAAAGAACTGGCTAGCCACATTCAGAAAACAGAAACTGGACCCCTTCTTTACATCTTATACAAACATTATCTCAAGATGGATTAAAGTCTTAAATATAAAACACCAAACCACAAAAACCCTAGAAGAAAACCTAGGCAATACCATTCAGGACATAGGCATGAGCAAAGACTTCAGGAATAAAATACCAAAAGCAATCACAACAAAAGCTAAAATTGACAAATGAGATCTAATTAAACTAACGAGCTTCTGCACAGCAAAAGAATCTATCATCAGAGTGACCAGGCAACCTACAGAATGACAGAAAATTTTTGCAATCTATCCATGTGTCAGAGGTCTAATATCCAGAATCTACAAGGAACTTAATTTCACACACACACAAAAAAAAAACATCAAAAAGTGAGTAAAGAATATGAACAGACTATTCTCAAAAGAAGACATTTGGCTGGGCGTGGTTGATCAAGCCTGTAATCCCAGCACTTTCAGCCATGGAGGCAGGTGGATCATGAGGTCAGGTGTTCAAGACTAGCCTGGGCAACATGGTGAAACCATGTCTCTACTAAAAACACAAAAAATTAGCATGGTGTTTTGGCGGGTGGCTGTGATTCCAGCTTCTTGGGAGGATAAGGCAGGAGAATCACTTGAACCTGGGTGGCAGATGTTGCAGTGAGCTGAGATCCTGCCACTGCACTCCAGCCTGGGTGACAGAGCTAGACTCCGTCTTTAAAATAATAATAAATAAAATAAATAAAAAGAAAAGGAAGAAGGAGAAGAAGAAGAGGAAGAAGAAGAAGAAGAAGAAGAAGAAGAAGAAGAAGAAGAAGAAGAAGAAGAAGAAGAAGAAGAAGAAGACATTTATGTGGTCAACAAACACACAAAAAGGAAAAAGAAAAAAGCTCATCATCACTGATGATTAGAGAAATGCAAATCAAAACCACAATGGGATACCATCTCACACCATTTGGAATGGCAGTTATTAAAATGTCAGGAACAACAGATGCTGATGAGGCTATGGAGAAATAGAAACGCTTTTACACTGCTGGGGGCGGGAGTGTAAATTACTTCAACCATTATGGAAGACAGTGTGGTGATTCCCTAAGTATCTAGAACCAGAAATACCATTTGACCCAGCAATCTCATTACTGGTTATATACCCAAAGGAATATAAATCATTCTAGCATAAAGACACATGCACTCATATATCTATTGCAGCACTGTTTACAATAACAAAGACTTGGAACCAACCTAATGCCCATCATTGATAGACTGGAAAAAGAAAATGTGGCACATATACACCATGAAATAATATTCAGCCATAAAAAGAATGAGTTCATGTCCTTTGCAGGGACGTGAATGACACTGGAAACCATTCTCTTCAGCAAACTAACACGGGAACAGGAAACAGAACACCATATGTTCTCACTCATATGTGGGAGTTGAACAATGAGAACACATGGACACCGGGAACAAAACATCACACACTGGGGCCTGTTAGGGTGTTGAGGTCAAGGGGAGGGAGAAAATTAGGACAAATACCTAATGCATATGGGGCTTAAATCCTAGACGTCAGGTTGATAGAAGCAGCAAACCACCATGGCACATGTAAACCTATGTAACAAACCTGCACGTTCTGCACATGTATTCCAGAACTTAAAGTAAAACAAACTAACAAAAATGCACTAAGGCTGAGGGGGAGTGGGGGTAGGGGCAGGAGTCAGGCGGGGGTGGGTGAGTCCTGGAGTTTTATCCAGTCATTGACACTGATGTGGGAACAGCCCAATCAGGCGCGCAGTTGGAGAGGACAGGAGAGGAGGGCGTGGCTTCTGGCGTTTGGCGGGTCTTTGTCTCTTGCTGGCGCTGGCACAGGAACTTGGGATCCGTCTCCTCTTTCGCCTCCTCCGCTTTGGGAGCCCCGGGCTACTCTTTCACAGCCCCTGTTGCCCTGTGATCTGTAGGTCCTTGGGGACGCACAGTTAAGATGACAGGACATCCTGGAAGCTGGGAAATGGTGAGTATACGGGGTTCGGCATCCCGAGAGGGGACAGCAGGCTGTGAAACCGGCAGGACCGGCCCCCACGGTTAGCTCCGAGTCTCCCGCAGCTTGGCCCTCAGTCCCCTGTGGCTGCAAGATGGCCGCTGGGCCAGCATCGAGGACCCCCACATCCGGCCTGGCCCATCCGGTGCTGTCCCTGGGCAGCGCCCTGCTCTGCGCCCACAGCCATGAGTATTTCCCAGATTGTTCAGGGAGGCCTGGTGGGTCATCAGGGAAAAACTGCCACTGGGTGTTTGCGTGGGAGGAGCTGCGGCCCGTGGGGTCCCCAGTCTCTCTTGTTAAAAATTAACGGGAGTCTATGTTAAAACGTTAACCAGTTTATCTGAACAAACAGTGATTGGTGAAATGGAAAGCACCCAGCCATGATTTCTGGTCCACCAGAGGGGCATAAAGGAAAGGCTTTCATAAGATGCATGAGAAAGCAGCCCAAATTCAAAAATTGGTTCCAGTTATGTAGTCACCTTATTTGAACTATCCAGATGGAAATGTCCTGGTTACATATTCAGAGGTTAATTGCATGTTTGCCATTGGTTAAACGTGCATTTTGTTTCAGGCTAAGATAATGCTTTATAGGAAATGTATTTGAGTTAGGTTTTAGTTTTTGTTTTTTTTTTTTTAACCTATGAACCCAGGACACTAGAGCCACTTTAGTCTAATTTTCTGCTCTTTAATTATTTTAACACTCCAGAGGAGGACTGGTTTTCTCCTGTGTTTTTTTAATATATGGCAAGTGGAACCTCTAATCGACCACCCTGTTTTTCAGCCTAACTCAGGCTTGTGGTAAAATTATCAGTTCCCACTTTCTTTGCTGCATTCTCAAATGCAACACAGGAGAACAGCTTTCCCTTGCAAATTCACAATGCTGTTAACTATTTGTCCTTTATTATACATTTCATTAAAGTTTTCTATTATTGGATTTCTTTCTACTTCTCCCTACAGTTCTGCCCATATTTGCTTTTTATATTTAGAAGCCTCCCTTTTGGGTGCATAAATATATATAGCTATATTCACTTGACAAATTAACCTCTATTATTATTGTATGGTAAACTCATTTCATGCTTGTGAGAGACATTGCTAGAAAGTCTATTTTGTCTAATTTAAGCATAACTACCATTGAACTCCTTTGGCTATTATTTGCATGGAATATCATTTTCTATCCTTTCACTTTTAGCCTATGCTCTTAATTCATAATTGAGTCTCTTGTAAGCAGCATATTACGAGGTTTAAAAGTTTCATTTATCCACTCTGTCTGCTTTAGTCTCTTTTGGCTGTTATAACAGAATATCACAGACTGGTAATTAATAAAGAACAGAATTTTATTTGACTCATGATTCTGGAGGCTGGGAAGGTAAAAGAACATGTTACTGGTATCTGTTGAAGGTCTAGTTGCTGGATAATAACATGGCCAAAGATGTGAGGGAGAGACAGCTTTTTTTTTTTTAATATATAACAGATCCATTCTTGTTAAAATTAGCCCATTCCCATAATAAGAACATTAATCCATTCATGAGGGCAGAGTGCTTATAGCTTAATTAATTTTTAAAGGTTCCACCTCTTAATTCTTTCACATTGGCCATTTTATCCTAAATTTTGGAGATGACATTCAGTCTACAGAAGTATCTGTTTAGTAGATAATTTAATCTTTTTATTTGTAAGGTAGTGATAGGTAAGCAGTTACTATTGTACATTTGTAGTTTTCTGTCCATTTTAAGTTTGCTTCTTTTTTTTCTGGTTCTGTCTTTCCTGTGGTATTGTTCATTTTTGTTGAGACAAAGTTATGCTTTCTTGCTCAGACTGAAGTTCAGTGGCATATCACAGCTCACTGTAGCCTCAATCTCCTGGGCTCAAGCAATCCTCCCCCCTTAGCCACCCAAGTAGCTTGGACTACTTGGACATGTACCACAACACCCAAGGAGCTTATGATTCTTCCACCTTGGCCTCCAAAAGTGTTGGAATTATAAGCAGGAGCCACTGTATCCAATGTGTAATTTTTGTTGTTTGTGTATGCTTTAATTACTTTCTCTTTTTCTTTACTATGTTTTTTTTTCCCCCAGTGGTTATCATGAGACTTATGTAAAACCTCTTGTATTTTAATAGTCTAGTTTAAGATGATAACAATTTAGAGTATTCTGAATTTCAGTATGTATTTACCATTTTTAGTGACATTTATACTTTAGTATTTTTCATATTGTTAGTTAGCATTTCATCATATCAATGTGAAGATTTCTTCCAGACCTTGGCTGGAGAAGGAAAGAAGGTGTGTTTTGCCTGATTCAGGGACTATAGAGAGAACCAAGTTCTGCAGGCCTGTCACCTAAGTCTCAGATGAGTATGAATTCTTTTGTGTTTTTCACAGATTTTTGCAGTGGCAGGACCAAGTTCAAATGAGTCATAGCCAAGTTTACAGTAAGATGTGGTAGTATTCTGTTTTGAACCGAGGACCATGATTGGCAAGCTTGCCACTTGGTCAAGTGCTTACCCTCTAAAGATGTCTTCCTTGGTCTTTGCCTCCAGCTGGGTGTCACAAACTCTGAACTGGATTCTAAGGCTTTCATGAATGCACTTATGTTTCCCGTGGCAGCTGCATTATGTTGTGGGGGATGTGCATGCCGAACCTCCCATTCTGTCGTCTTGCTTATGTTACTCTCCTTTATGTTTCACTTTCTCAAATGAATGTCAAGCTGGTGATTTTTAGATTCAAAAATTCTAAAATAAATTGCTCAAATTTCCACATTATGTAAGCTATTAATAAAATGTCTTGTAGGTGCTACATATTTATTAAAATTTTTGGTTGTAATTTTAAGCTCACTGCAGGCAGAAAGGAATCATTAACATTTATATTCTTTTTTTTAGTCTGTATCTAAATGATGGTATATTTTAATTCCAGATATTTACTTTATACTGCAGTAATGCTCGTCATATTTTGCAAAATTTATGTTGTTCTTTTATTTGGAAATATAAGGCTTTTTTAGCTCTTGAAATCTATATTATAGTCATATAATTTTATTATGTTTTGTGGTAAGAAGTGCAGCAACATATTGAGAACATAATAAAATTATCCTGTATTTTTAATGATTATTTATTAAATTCCTCTCATTAGAGCCTGTTATTAATGATTGTAATGTATTTTCTGTATAATTTTACTGCAATTTATTAAATTCTAATGACTTAAATTGTCTGCTTTTCATGAGTGCACACAGTTGAATGCTGTAGATATCTAAAGAATTATTTTTCGGCCGGTTGTGGTGGCTCATGCCTGTATTCCCAGCACCTTGGGAGGCCAAGGCGGGTGGATCACGAGGTCAGGAGATCGAGACAACCCTGACTAACATGGTGAAACCCCGTCTCTACTAAATATACAAAAAATTAGCCGGGCATAGTGGCAGGCGCCTGTATCCCCAGCTACTCAGGAGGCTGAGGCAGGAGAATGGCGTGAACTCAGTGGACAGAGTTTGCAGTGAGCCGAGATCGCGCCACTGCACTCCAGCCTGGGCAACAGGGCAAGACTCTGTCTCAAAAAAAAAAATAAAAAAAAAAACGGTTATTTTCCATTGTAAATCTATGTTGTATTCAGGATTTTATGCACGAAAATCTCTCTTCTTATTTTCAAGTCCGTGTTATTGTGTTTCTTTTCTTGGGAGTTATGTTTTCTCAGATCAGTTAAATGTATTTTTATTTTAAAGCTTGATATCATCAGTTGAAAGATAATTTTTAGCTCGGTACACTTTATCTCAATGTGATGTTTAATATATGTGTGAATTAGCTGTGTTTGTTGCTTATAGATATATCTGTATGTTTTTCACTTATGTAAGTATGACATCTTTTTCCTTGTTTTTTTGTTTTTTTCTTTTCAGTTTCAGATAGGCTTTTTTTTTTTTTAAGAGAATTTTAAAACAGAGTCGAAAGAAGAGAAATCAGTTATTTGTCCTCTTGCAGGGTGGGGAGACAACTTCCTTCCCCACAGGTTTGAGGCTATGCCTAAGTGGTGAGTCTTGAGGAGATGCAGAAAGGATCCATCCCAGGCACTTGGCTGGACTTAAGTAAGCATAGCCTTTAGGCCACAAGACCTGATGGTTTGGGTACTGGTCTGGACATAAGTCCCCATCTTCCCAGAAATATCATCTTTTGTCTGCAACAACTGGCTGGAGAAATATTTCAGAAAGATGTGTGTCTGGAACACCCAAAGACATACTTTTCCTTTCTCCTTGGCATAGGCCTTGCAGCACTGAAGAAAGACCAGGTTTGCAATGGAGCCTTCAACAGTCTTCATCCCTATGGAACTCAGGGTCTCATAGGGTGACAGGAGAGGAGACAAAGCTAACTTGGGAAGAGTCTCTGTCCTTCAGCTTCTCCCCTACTGAAACACTATATATTGGGCCCACAGTTCATCACAAAACACACATGCTCTCTTTCTTTCTCTCACACCCAATCTTGGGAACCCAAAAACTTGATGGCAGGTAGCTCTGGGTATCCTTGGTCTGGCATTCACCCACTGGGAATCTAAGCTGTCCTAAAGCTCTTTTCAATCACTTCTCACTGTTTCCAGGCCCATGTGGGTAGGTGTTCCAGGCTTCATTCTTTCAGGCTGATCATAAAGGCACAGTGTGGGAAAATCCCCTACTGTGATGGCCATTGCTGGGAAGCAGGAAAGGCTAAGGGCCCACTGCTGCCCAAGGCTAGTATAGATGCCCTCTGCTCCACTCATGTCCTCAAAGACTGATATCAGGTGCAGCAGCTGCTGTCTGGAATGTTATCAAACCAGGACTGCACAGGCACTGCATTCTCTGTGTGGAAGACGTAAGAAGCAGGCGAGTTGTCCAGGATGAGAGTTTTCCTCAGGTCCCTCCCCAGATGGCTGAGGTCATTGACATAGCAGCCCTGGTGGAACAAACGTGACTCATGGGCTAGGCAACCCCAGAACACCTCACACTGGTCCAGCACACCCATCACAATGTGTCTGGAATTGGTGGGTTCTTGTTCTCACTGACTTCAAGAATGAAGCCACAGACCCTCACGGTGAGTGTTACAGTTCTTAAAGGTGGCATGTCTGGAGTTTGTTCCTTCTGACATTCGGATGTGTTGAGAGTTTCTTCCCTCTGGTGGGCTCGTGGTCTCGCTGGCTCAGGAGTGAAGCTGCAGACGTTCGCGGTGAGTGTTACAGCTCTTAAGGTGGCACATCTGGAGTTGTTCATTCCTCCAGGTGGGTTCGTGGTCTCGCTGGCTTCAGGAGTGAAGTTGTGGACCTTCACAGTGAGTGTTACAGCTCATAAAGGCATTGTGGACCCAAAGAGTGAGCAGCAGCAATATTTATTGCAAAGAGCAAAAGAACAAAGCTTCCACAGTGTGGAAGGGGACCCGAGTGGGTTGCCACTGCTGGCTGGGGCAGCCTACTTTTATTCCCTTATCTGGCCCCACCCACATCTTGCTGATTGTTAGAGCCGAGTGGTCTTTTTTCACAGGGCGCTGATTGGTGTGTTTACAATCCCTGAGCTAGACACAAAGGTTCTCCACATCCCCACCAGTGTAGCTAGATACAGAGTGTTGATTGGTGCATTCACAAACCCTGAGCTAGACACAGGGTGCTGATTGGCATGTTTACAAACCTTGAGCTAGATACAGAGTGCCGATTGGTGTATTTACAATCCCTGAGCTAGACACAAAGTTTCTCCACGTCCCTACCAGACTCAGGAGCCCAGCTGGCTTCACCCAGTGGATCCCCCACAGGGTCTGCAGGTGTAGCTGCCTGCCAGTCTGGCACTGTGCACCCGCACTTCTCAGCCCTTGGGTGGTTGATGGGACTGGGTGCCGTGGAGCAGGGGGCGACACTCATCCAGGAGGCTTGGGCACACAGGAGCCCACCGATGGGGGGGAGGCTCAGGCATGGCGGGCTGCAGGACCCAAGCCCTGCCCTGTGGGATGGCAGCTAAGGCCCAGCGACAAATTGAGCACAGCAGCTGCTGGCCGAGGTGTTAAGCCCCTCACTGCCTGGGGCCGGTGGGGCCAGCCGGCGGCTCCGAGTGTGGGGTCCGCCGAGCTCGCGCTGGCCTTCAAGCACTGCACGCCGCCCTGGTTCCCACACGCACCTCTCCCTCCACACCTCGTCGCAAGCTGAGGGAGCCGGCTCCGACCTTGGCCAGCCCAGAAAGGGGCTCCCACAGTGCAGCGACAGGCTGAAGGGCTCCTAAAGTGCCGCCAAAGTTGGAGCCCAGGCAGAGGAGGCCCGGAGAGTGAGCAAGGGTTGTGAGGACTGCCAGCACGCTGTCACCTCTCAACAGGATCTGCATACTTGTTCAGTCTGGAATGAAGAGAGCAATGAAGAAAACACATTTAAACAGTTCCTCCAGTCATCTCAGGAACTCATCCATATAAGGCCTCATGGTCCCCTCAATCTTTACAGTCACTAGGCAGTCAGCATTGCTGATTGGCTTAATGGAGCTATGCACAAGGGTTTCATCCATGTCAGTGACCATACAGATCGTTCCTTGATTTTTCTCTGTCACCTCTGGGAGCAGGCAGGTCCCTGGGATCTGATAAAACTGATACTGGAGACACTTGAGCTGATCCGACTTAGCAATGGTGTTGACTCCCTCCTTATGTGTGGAGAACTCAGTGGGGGAACTTGACTTGCCAACATGCTGGGTGCAAGAACAGCAGAAAGGTACCTTCTAAGATGTCACAAACATGAGGCCTCTTCGGAGAGCACTTTGGAAACCAGGCCTTGCTTGCTAAGGACCAGGGCATCTTCCCTCCATGCCTGGGTGGTGATGGAGCCTGGTTCCATCTAACAATCCTGAGGGCTCGGCTGGCTGGGTGGGAAGACAGCGGGCACGTTGGCTGGACTGGGCTGGGGGGCATGGGCTGGGGCCTGATTCAGTTCCCGAGAGTCTGACTTCCACAGCTGTTCACATACCCCTTCTCCTTTCCATCACAGGCCGGGAAGAGAGGCGGCCTGTAGGGACGGTGGATGGCCTTGGCAGCAGCTCCCCAGGGTGCCCCCAGCCCCAAATCCCCCAGCAGGAGCTTCAGGATCTTCAGTTTGGGTCTAACCTAGGGAATCCACCTCATACTCATGTTTTTTCAAGTTTTATTTTAAGTTCAGTGGTCCATATGTGATAAGCTTTTTTTTCAACTTTTATTTTAAGTTTAGGGGTCCATGTGCAGGATATGCAGGTCTCTTACATAGATAAACGTGTGCCATTGTGCTTTACTGCACAGATCATCTCATCACCCAGGTACTAAGCCCAGCATCCGCAGCTATTCTTCCTGCTGCTCTCCTTCCCCTCCCCCATGCCATGAAACAGGTGTCCAGTGTGTGTTGTTCTTCCTGATGTGTCCATGTGTTCTCATTGATCTGCTTCTGCTAATAAGTTAGAATAATAATAGGTGGTGTTTGGTTTTCTGTTCCTGCATTAGTTTGCTGGGAGTAATGGCTTCAAATTCCAACCATGTCCCTGCAAAGGACATCATCTCATTACATTTTATGGCTTCATAGTGTTCCATGGTGTATGTGTACCACATTTTCTTTATCCAGTATATCATTGATGGGCATGTAGATTGATTACATGACGTTGCTATTGTAAATATTGCTGCAATGAACATATGTATACATGTTTATTTAAAATAGATTTATATTCCTTTGGGTGTATGCCCAGTAATAGTATTGCTGGGTCAAATGGTATTTCTGCTTCTAGGTCTTTGAGGAATCTCCACACTCTCTTCCACAATGCTTGAAATAATTTACAATCCCACCAACAGTGTAAAAGTGTTCCCTTTTCTCCACAACCTCACCAGCATCTGTTTTTATTTCTTTTTTACTTTTTATTAATAGACATTGTAATTGGTGTGAGATGGTATCTCATTGTTGTTTTGATGTGTATTTATCCAGTTATCAGTGATGTTGAGCTTTCCATGTTTGTTGGGCACATGTATGTCTTCTTTTGAGATATGTCTGTTCATGTCCTTTGACCACTTTTTAATGGGGTTGTTTGTTTTTCTCTTGTAAATTTTAAGTCCCTCATAGATTCTGGGTATTAGATATTTGTCAGATGAATAGGTTGCAAAATTTTTCTCCCATTCTCTAGCTTCTCTGCTCTGATGATAGCTTCTTTGGCTCTGTGGAATCTCTTTAGTTTAATTAGACCCCATTAGTCAATTTTTGCTTTTGTTGCTATTTCTTTTGGTCTTTTTGTCATCAAATCTTTCCTCATGACTATATCCTGAATGGTATTTTCTAGATTTTTTCTTCTAAGGTTTTTATAGTTTTGGGTTTTACATTCAAGTCTTTAATCCATCTTGAGTCAATTTTTGTCTATGGTGTTAGGAAGGGTTCCAGTCTTAATTCTCTGCACATGACTAGCCAGTTATCCTAGCACTATTTATTGAATAGGGAGACTTTTCCCTAATTCCTTGTTTTTGTTGACTTTGTCAAAGATCAGTTTGTTGTAGGTTTTTGGCTTTATTTCTATGCTCTCTATTTTGTTTCATTTGTCTATGTGTCTGTTTCTATACCAGTACCATGCTGTTTTTGTTACTGTACTCTTCTAGTACAGTTTGAAGTTAGGCAATGACCCTTTCAGCTTTTTTTTTTTTTTTTCTTAAGGTTGGCTTGGCTATTTGGGCTCTTTTTTGGTTCCATTTTAATTTTAAAAAGTTTTTTTTTTCTAATTATCTGAAGAATGTCAGTAGTTCAATGGGAACAGCATTGAATCTATAAATTACTTAGGGCAATATGCTCATATTCGTGGTACTGATTCTTTCTCTCCGTGAGCATGGAATGTTTCTCCATTTGTTTTGTGTCCACTCTGATTCCTCTGAGTAGTTGTTTGTAGTTCTCCTTGAAGATATCCTTCACTTTCCTTCTTAGCTGTATTCCTTGGTATTTTTTTCTCTTTATAGCAAATGTGAATGAAAGTTCATTCATGATTTGTCTCCCTGCTTGCCTGTTGCTTGTGTATGGGAATGCTAGCTACTTTTGCAGATTGATTTTATATCCTGAGATTTTGCTACTGCTGCTTATCACCTTAAGAAGCTTTGGGGCTGAGACGAAGAGGCTTTCTAGATATAGGGTCAGGTCATCTGTAAACAAAGATAATTTGACTTTCTCTCTTTCTATTTGAATACTGTTTATTTCTTCCTCTGGCCTGATTTTCCTGGACAAGTTTTCCGAATGGGAGTTGTAATGCGAGTGGTGAGAGAGAGCATACTTTTCTTGTGCCGGTTTTCAGGGGGAATGTTTCCAGCTTTTGCATATTCAGTATGATATTGGCTGTGGGTTTGTTGTATATGGCTCTTCTTATTTTGAGGTATGTTTCTTCAGTTCCTAATTTATTGAGAATTTTAAACGTGAAGGAATGTTGAATTTTATTGGGTGCTTTTTCTGCATCTATTGAGGTAATCATGTGGTTTTTTTATTTAGTTTTCTTTATGTGATGAGTCACATTTGTTGATTTGCATATGTTGAATCAACCTTGCATCCTGGAGACAAAGCCAATTCCATTGTGGTGGATGCACTTTTTAATGTGCTGCTGGGTTTGGTTTGCCAGTATTTTATTGAGGATGTTTGCACAGTGTTCATCAAAGACATTGGCATGATGTGTTGTTGTTGTTGTTGTTGTATCTATGTTAGGTTTTGGTATCAGGATGATGCTGGCCTGATAGAATGAGTTAGACAGAACTTCTTTGTCTTCAATTTTTTTTGGATAGTTTTAGGAGAAAATGTACTATCTCCTCTTTACCTCAAGTCAAATTCAGCTTGCTTGGTAGGCTAGTTCTTACTGTCTCAATTTCAGAACACATTATTGATCTATTCAGGGTTCAGTCTTGTAGAGAGTTTATTTTGCAAGGAAATTGTCCATTTCTTCTAGATTTTCTGGTTTATGAGCATAGAGGTGTTTATAGTATTCTCTGATCGTTGTTCTTATTTCCATGGGATCAGTGATGATATCTCCCTTATTATTTCTATTTGTGTTTGGTTCTTTCTTTTCTTATTTATTTGCCTAACTAGTGTTCCATCTAGTTTATAAATTTTTTTTTTTTTCATAAAAACAGCTCCTGGATTGGTTGAGTTTTTTTTTTTTTTTTTTGGAAGAGTTCTCAGTGTCTCTATCTCCTTCAGCTCTACTCTGATCTTGGCTATTTCTTATCTTCTGCTAGCTTTCAGGTTTGTTTTCACTTGGTTTTCTTGTTCTTTTAACCAAGATGTTAGGCTGTTAACTTTAGATCTTTCTAATTTTTTTTTTTCTTGTGGGAGAGTTTCACTCTGTCACCCAGGCTGGAGTACAGTGGCATAATCTCGGCTCACTGCAACCTCCACTTCTCGGTTTTAAGTCACTTCTGCTGTCTCAGCCTCCTGAGTAGCTGGGATTACAGATGTGAATCACCACACCTAGCTAATTTTTGTATTTTTTTGTAGAGATATGGTTTTGCTGTTGGCCAGGCTGGTCCTGAACACCTGGTCTCAAGTGATCTGCCTACCCCAGCCTCCCAAAGTGCTGGAATTACAGGCATGAGCCACCATGACCGGCCCTTTCTAGCTTTTTGATGTGGACATTAGTGCTATAAATTTCCCTCTTTTCTTGGTTTCTAGTGATTATTTTATTCTATCTTGGTGAGTAGTCAGGGAAATAATCTTAAATTTACAATCAACTTATAGTTTAAATCTAAATAATTAAGTGAGAAGAACCCTTTGTTATTTGAAGGGGATGTTTGAAGATTTTGTAACCGTGCCTTTTAGGTAGTCCTAAATTTCTAATTGTAGTTAAAAACATGCCATTTTCATTTCTAACATTTTAAGTATATGGTTTAGAAGTGGTAAGTATAGTTCTATTTTTTTTTGCAATAGGTTTTAGATAATTTTTGTCTTACAAAAGTAAAAGTGAATACTCATTAATTCTGAAACAAGTTAGTTAGCTTGCTTTAGTTAGATAGCAAGAGAAGGGTCCCTGGAAAGTCCCTGGCCCTTGGGTCAGTGTCTCATCCCTGCATAATATAAAAGGAATCCTGGAAAAAATCAAGCTGCAGACACTAACAAGGTAACTAGCACATGGTGTTGTGCTTGGAGACCTGCCCATGGCTGCACAGACAGAAAAACCTCTGGCATATTTGGATAAAAACTTGTACAAACCTCCAGCTCACTGAGATAAGGGAACAAGACCGACCTGGCATAGAAATGCCTTTGTTTGTCCAGGCACAGTGGCTCATGCCCGTAATTCCAGCAATTTGGGAGGCAGAAGTGGGCGGATCACCTGAGGTCGGGAGTTCGAGACCAGCATGACCAACATGGAGAAAAATACAAAATTAGCCGGGCATGGTGCCTCATGCCTGTAATCCCAGCTACTTGGGAGGCTGAGGCAGGAGAATCACTTAAACCCAGGTGGCGGAGTTTGCTGTGGGCCGAGATCGCACCATTGCACTCCAGCCTGGGCAACAAGAGCAAAACTACGTCTCAAAATAAATAAATTAATAAATAATAAGAAAGTACATCTCAAAAACAAAAATGAAAGAAAGAAAGAAAAGAAAAAGAAAAAAAGAAACGCCTTTGTACTTTGTGCAGTCAGTGGGCTCCCAGGAAAATGTTTCTTCTCCTTTTGTGGGCATAAGCACAGTGGGCTCTGGTGCATTCCGGTCGACACTCTCCTTTATTTGGACTGTAAGTCAGACCTCTGTGAATAATTACTTCAGCCCCTGATTGCTCCCGGGACAAGCTCCTGCGCCAAGCTTTCACTTTAGCTTCTGATAAGTCCTGGGCCAATCTAAATAGCATCTATGAATCATCCCTTCAGCTCCTGATTGGTCCCGGGTCAAAGTCCTGGGCCAAGCTGAGCCACACTTTTTTCAAGACAGCCTGTTAACTAGGCACATTTCCTTCTCTTCCTTTCCCAGTCCATAAAAACCTTGGGCCCCAGCCTCACAGAGGTCACCCCATTCAGAAACTATCTCTGCTGGCAAAGAGCTTTCTTCTCTTGCTTATCAAACTTTCACTCTAACCTCACCTTTGTGTTCACGCTCCTTAATCTCCCTAGAAGTAGAACAAAGAACTTTCGATGCTATCTCAGACTATGAGAGACTGTTACATCTTGGTGCACTGCTGAGACTACAACACTTGGTTTCTTTGAGTTTGACTAAATATTTTACATAGGTGTAATTATACAGTTTTCCTTTTTGACTGTCTTGTTTTACTTAACAGAATGTTTTCGAGATTTGTCCTTATTGTAGTACTTTTCAAGATTTCCTTATTTTTAAGGCTGAATGCTATCCAGTGAATATACGTGCCCTGTTTGTTGAATCTACTCATCCTTAAAGGTACATTTGCTTCCAGGTAGTATGTTTGTGAGTAATGCTACAGTGTACATAAATGTGCATATATCTATTCCATGTTCTGCTTTGCCTGTTTGGGATATTTTTCACACACTGATTTAGTACCATGTGTATTCCCTTGCTTTTGTTGTCTGATTCGTTGATGTTACATCCCCCAAATTATTGCCGAGACCAATTGTCATGAAGCTTCACCCTTCTGTATTGTGCTAGGAATTTTACAGCTATAGATTTTACATTATAGTCTTCATATTTTAAAATTGACACATGTAATTGTACAAATTTTGGGGAAACAATTATGTATATATGTTGTATAGCAATAAAAATCAGAGTACTTAGTGTAATTATTGCCTCATACATTTGTTATTTTTGTGGTGAGAACATTCAAAAGCTTCTTCTCTAGCTATTTTTTTATATCTTTATATATTAACTTTTTTTAGAGACAGGATCTTGCTCTAACACACAGATTGGAGTGCAGTGGTGCAATCCTAGCTCACTGTAACCTCAAACAATCTTCTAACCTCAGCTTCCCAATTAGCTGAGACTACAGGAACCTGCCTCCATGCCTGGATAATGTTTTAATTTTTCATAGAGACAGGGTCACACTATGTTGTCCAGGCTCATCTTGAACTTCTGACATCAAGTGATTCTCCTACCTCATTCTCCCAAAATGTATGGATGGCAGGAATGTGCCACCACAACTGGTCTCTTTTAGCTATTTTGTAATTTGAGATAACTTTTCATTAATTATTATTATTCTGCTGTGTAACAAAAAACAAAAACTTATTTCTCCTATCTAATTGTAACACAATACTTTTGAAGCTGCCTTTTCCCATCTCCCTGCTTCAGTCTCTGGGAACCCCTGTTGTACTCTTTGCTTATATCAACCCTTTTTTTCAGGTTCCTCAAATGAGTGAGATAATAAGATCATAAAGTATTTGTGTTTCTCTATGTGGCTTATTTTACTTAACATGGTATGCTCAAGGTTCATCCATGCTCTTTTAACTGACAGAATTTTATCCTTTCTTATAGCTGAATAGTATTTCACTGTGCATATATAGTACATTTTCCTTATCCATTTATCTGTTGCTGTACATTTGAATTGATTCCATATATAAGCTATTATAACTAGTTCTGTAACTAACATGGAAATGCAAATATCTTTTTGACACAGTGATATCCTTTCTTTTGTATATACATGCAGGAGTAAAATTGCTGGATCATGTAATACATCTATTTTTAATTTCTTTCAGAAACCTCCATAGTATTTTCTATAGTGGCCATACTAATTTACAATTCCACCAACAATGTATACATTCACTCATTTTATATCCTCATTAGTACTTGTTTTATTTATTTATTTATTTTTATTATAGCCATTCTAAATGGGAGTGAGGCGGTACCTCATTGTGGTTTGGATTTTCATTTCCTTAGTGATTAGTAATGTAGAACATATTTTTATGTTCCAGTTAGCCATTTTTGTATCACTTTTTGACAAACATCTATTAAGATCTTTTGCATTTTTTTAATTAGATTATAAGTGTATTTTATTTTGAGATTTTAAAGTTTCTTATTTATTCTGAATATTAGCCTTTTGTCATATGTATAGCCTGAAAGCATTTTCTTTTATTGCCTAAGCTGTCTCTTCAATCTTTTAGTTTTTTTAATATGGAAAAGCATTTTAGTTTGACATAATGTTGTTTGCTTATTTTTGATTTTGTTGCCTATGTTTTGACATGTTATTTTAATAATCCTTTCCCCGTCGAATGTTATAAAGCATTTTTTAGTTTTTCTCTAATAGTTTCATAATTGATAGCATTACATTTAAGTCTTTAGTTTGAATTGATTTTCATATATGGCAAGGCACAGGGGTCTAGTATAATTTTTCTGAATTTAAATATTTAAATGGCCCTGCATCATTTATTGAAGAAATTAGCTTTTCCCTAAAGTGTGTTCTTGGCAATTTTGTTGACAATCAGTTGGCTTTAGGTGCATAAACTAACTTCTGGGCTTCTTGGGCACATTAGTCTATGTGTTTGTTTTTATGCCAGTACAGTGCTCTTTTGGTTACTATAGCTTTGTAGCAAGTTTTGAAGTTTGATAAAGTGATGCCTTTAGCTTTGCTTATTTTGCTCAAAGTTATTTGTCTATTCAGAGTTTTTTGTGGATCCACATAAATTTAAAATATTTTTTCTATTTCTGTGAAAAAATGTCATTGATATTTTGATAAAAATATTACCTCCCACAGGGTCCCTCCCAGGACATGTGGGGATTATTACAATTTAAGATGAGATTTGATTGGGGACACAGAGCCAAACCCTGTCAATTACTTAAATCCAGGAGTTCGACACTACCCCGGGCAATATTGTGACAAGCTATTGGTAAAAAATATTTTCACAGATTACTCAGGCATTGTGGAATGTTCCTGTAGTCTCAGGAAGTTGGAGGCTGACGTAAGATTATTCCTTGAGTTCCCCAGGAACTTGAGGCTGCATTGAGCTATAATCATCGTATTGTATTCCTGTCTGGGTGAGAGAGTAAGACCTCTTTTTAGAATTTCAAATTTATTTTAGATTTAGGAGGTACCTACACAGGTTTTTTACATGGGTATTTTGTATAATGCTGAGGTTTGAAGTATGAGTAATTCCATCAATCAGGTAGTGAGCATAGTACTAAGTAGACAGTTTTTCAGTTCTTGGTCCCTCCCTCTCTCCACCCTCTAAGAGTTGTCTATTATTTTTGTTTTTCTGTCCATGTGTACCCAGTGTTAATTTCCATTTATAAGTGAGAATATGCAGTATTTTCATTTTCCATTTCTGCATTAATTTGCTTTGTATAATGGCCTTTAGTTGTGTTAACGTTGCTGCAAAGGAGGTTTTTTTTGTTTGTTTTTGCTAAGTAGTATTGCTGTACATGTGACACTTTTTAAATTCAATTTACCATCAATAGGCTGGACATGGTGGCTGATGCCTGTAATCCCAGTGCTGTGGGAGGCCAAGGCGGGTGGATCATGAGGTCAGGAGATCGAGACCATCCTGGACAACGTAATGAAACCCCGTATGTACTGGAAATACAAAAGTTAGCCAGGCTTGGTGGCATGCGCCTATAGTCCCAGCTACTCGGGTGGCTGAGGAAGGAGAATTGCTTGAACCTGGGAGGTGGAGATTGTAGTGAGCTGAGATCGTGCCACTGCACTCCAGCCTGGGCAACAGAGTGAGACGTCATCTCAAAAAAATAAAAAATTACCATGAATAGGCACGTAGGTTGATTCAGGTCCTTCCTCTTATGAATAGTGTAGTGATGAACCAACAAGTGCATGTGCTATTTTGGTAGAATAGTTTATTCTCTTTTGGGTATATACCCAGCGGTGAAATTGCTGGGTTGAATCACAGTTTAACTCTCAGTTATTTGGAAAATCTCCAAGCTGTTCTCCACAGTGGCTGAACTAATTTACATTCCTATTAACAGTGTATAAGTGGTTTTTTCCCTCTAAAACCCCATCAACATCTATTATCATTTTACTTTTTAACAAAAACCATTCTAACTGGTGTACAATGGTGTCTTATTGTGGTTTTTATTTACATTTCCTTGATGGTTAGTGATGATAAGCTTTTTTCATGTTATTTGGCCACTTGTATGTGTTCTTTTGAAGAGTGTCTGTTATTGCCCACTTTTTCATGGGGTAATTTTTTCCTTGTGAATTCTTTAAGTTTCTTATAGATTCTGAGTATTAGATTTTGTCAGGTTCATAGGTTATGAATATTTTTGCCATTCTGCTAGCTTTGGGGTAAGTTAGTTTTTATTTTTCTAGTTTCTCTAAGTGTGATGTTAAATTGTTAGTTTGAGATCATTCTAACTTCTTGATGCAGGTATTTAGCACTCTCAACTTTCCTCTTAACAGAGCTCTTCCTACAACCCAGACATTTTGTTATATTGTGTCTCTTCTATTTCAAAATCTTTTTAATTTTCTGCCTTAATTTTTTTGTTTATCCAAAATTCATTCAGGAGCAAGTTGTTTAATTTCAATATCATTCTGTGATTTTGTGAGATTTTCTTGGTATTGATTTTTATCTTTGTTCCATTGTGGCCTGTCATATTCTGTGAGCAGATGAGAAGAATTTACTTTCTTTAGATGATGTGTTGCATATACTATAAATGTCTATTAGTTTCAATTGATCAAGTGTCGAATCAAACTCCAGAATTTCTTTGTTAAGTTTCTGCCTAGATAATCTGTCAAACACTTAGTGGGGAGTTGCATTCCCCTACTATTATTGTGTGTCTACTTGAGGCTTATTGTAGTTCTAGCAGTAATTGTTGTATAACTCTATGTTCCCCAAAGTTGGGTGCATCTACATTTACGATAGTTAAGTCTTCTTGTTGAATTGAACCCTTTATCGTTACGCAATACCTTTCTTTGTTTTATTTTACTATTAATGATTTAAAGCTATTTTTTCTTAAAAGAGAAACAATTCCAGGTATGGTAGCTTGTGCCAGCACTTTCAGACTGAAGCAGTCGGATTGCCTGAGACCAGGAGTTTGAGACCAGCCGAGGCAACACAGCAACATACTGTTTGTACAAATTTTTTTAAAGAAACTATACAGGAGGGGTAATGTGCACAACTGTGGTCATATTTACTCAGGAGACATAGGTGGCATGACTGCTTGACTTCCGAAATTTGAGGTTACAGTGAGCTGTGATTCCACCAGTGTACTCTGTCCCAGGAGATAAAGTAAGATCCTCTGCATAAAATGAAAAAGTAAAGAAAAATAAAAAGATTTTAAGTTAAAAAAATAATTCCTAGATCTCCACTTCTTTAGGTTCACTTGAATATATATTTTTCTCCTTTGATTAGGTTATATTTCCTGGTTGCTTTTACTTACTGTAGTTTTGTTAAGGTTTTGATCAATTAAGAAACCACTACCTATTTTATCCTTTATGAAAGAGCTTTATACATGGGAAAATTGACAACATTCAGCCACAGTAGTCATACTGGGAGCTTCTCCAATCTGTTGTCAAAATGTGTCTTCTTTGGACTACTGTATGTATTTTCTTGTTAATAAGGTTTACCTCTGTTTCCTCTTAGGAGCCTTTAGTCTCTTCCCTTCGTCACTGTTGTAGGCACTACAGTCTCTGTTGTTGTAAGAAGCATTTATCTTTATTCTCAGTTGACCCAAGCTGTCATTTAAACTCAGTCTCTATTCTCATCAACACTAAATGTTAAAGGAAGCAATTTCCAGTCTTTAGATAACCCCGGTATAACTCAGTAAGTCAGAAGTTTGCATACGCATTTCACTCTTTTTTCTTTCCCAAAGGAGAATCATGGAATGGACAGATTTTTATCTAACTGCGCTGTTCTGTAGTGCACAAATGTGACCAAATTTTCTTCTAAATGTGGTTATGGTTGGCTTTTTTCTCATGTGGGGTGCTACAAACTCAACTGGCTTTGTTCGCCCAATTGTAGTTAAGTTCATATGTCAATGGAGAGAAACAGGATCTCAGGTTCTGCTTCAACTGTCATTGTCTTCTCAGCTGACCTCATTTTGTACATTAGATTTATAAAATATATTTACTTTAATCTCATCACCGAATTTTTAAAAAAATTATTATTTTTCAGCTCTTTTAGCAATATATCCAATCAAGACCCAGAGAAAACAGTACATAGAAGCTTCTTTTCAAAAAGTAATATTGGGAAGATATGGGAGCTCTGGCCTTGAACTTTTACACTTAGGAGAGTGGGAAATTGAAGGATAAGTGTAAACGGCACAAAGTATGCTATGATGAATATACCAGATACACAGCAATTACCTACAGCAAAAATGTCACTGCTAGAAGAGCTCAAAACCATAAAGTATTTTGGAAAAAGCATAATTAATGTTGATTCTTTTTTCTGAACTATATATTTATATAATTACATACCAATAACAATTTTTGAAACATATCATGTTTTTGAAACAAAATTTAGAAAATCGCAATAGTGGCCTAGGCCAGGAATATTTCTTCTAATGCTATCCCTCCCATAGTCCCCCACTTCCCGACAGGCTCCAGTGTGTGATGTTCCCCTTCCTGTGTCCGTGTGTTCTCTTTGTTTAACTCCCTATTATGAGTGAGAACATGCGATGTTAGCTTTTCTACTCTTGTGTTAGTTTGCTGAGAATGGTGGTTTCCAGCTTCATCCATGTCCCTGCAAAGGACATGAACTCATCCTTTTTATGACTGCATCGTATTCCATGATGTGGACATGCCAAGTTTTCTTTATTCAGTCTATCATTGATGGTCATTTGGTTTGTTTCAAAGTTTTTGCTCTTGTGAACAGTGCCATAATAAACATACGTATGCATGTATCTTTATAATAGAATAATTTATAATCCTTTGGGTATATACCCAGTAATGTGATTGCTGGGTCAAATGGTATTTCTCATTGTGGATCCTTGAGGAATCACCACACTGTCTTCCACACTGGTTGAACTAATTTACACTCTCACCAACAGTGTATAAGTCTTCCTATTTTTCCACATCCTTTGTTGTTTCCTGATTTTTTTAATGATCACCATTCTAACAGGTGTGGGATGGTTTCTCATTGTGTTTTTGATTTGCATGTGTCTAATAACCAGTGATGATGTCCTTTTCTTCATTTGTTTATTGGCTGCATAAATGTCTCCTTTTGAGAAGTGTCTGTTCAAATCCTTTGCCCATTTTCGATGTTGTTGTTTCTTTTTTTCTTGTAAATTTGTTTAAGTTCTTTGTAGATTCTACATATCAGCCCATTGTCAGACGGATAGATTGCAGAAATTTTCTCCCATTCTTTAGGTTGCCTGTTCACTCTGATATAGTTTTTTTTGTTGTGCAGAAGCTCTTTAGTTTAATTATATCTCGTTTGTCAATTTTGGCTTTTGTTGCCATTGTTTTTGGTGTTGTAGTCATGAAGTCTTTGCCCATGCCTATGTCCTGAATGGTACTGCCTTGGTTTTCTTCTGGGGTTTTTATGGTTTTAAGTCTTATGTTTAAGTCTTTAATCCATCTTCAGTTATGTTTTGTATAACGAGTAAGGAAGAAGTCCAGTTTCAGTTTTTTGCATATGGCTAGCTAGTTTTCCAACACCATTTATTAAATAGGGAATCCTTTCCCCATTACTTGTTTTTGTCAGGTTCATCAAAGATCAGATGATTCTAGATGTTGAGTGTTATTTCTGAGGCCTCTGTTCTGTTCCATTTGTCAAT
The DNA here is from genome assembly GCF_000001405.40 of Homo sapiens. Classification (NCBI taxonomy): domain Eukaryota; kingdom Metazoa; phylum Chordata; class Mammalia; order Primates; family Hominidae; genus Homo; species Homo sapiens. Next base: position 5,573,414 of record NC_000021.9, read on the forward strand.
ATATCTGTTTTGGTACGAGTACCATCCTGTCTTGGTTACTGTGGCCTTTTAGTATAGTTTGAAGACAGCTAGCATGATGCCTCCACCTTTGTTCTTTTTGCTTAGTATTGTCTTGTCTATGCAAGACCTTTTTTGATTCCATATGAAATTTGAAGTAGTTTTTTTTCTAATTCTGTGAAGAAAGTCAATGGGAGCTTGATGGGGATAGCAATGAATTTATAAATTACTTTGGGCAATATGGCCATTTTCATAATATTGATTCTTCCTATCCATGAGCATGGATTGTTTTCGTTTGTTTGTGTCCTCTTTCATTTCCTTGAGCAGTGGTTTGTAGTTCTCCTTGAAGTGGTCCTTTACATCATTTTTAAGTTGGATTCCTAGGTATTTTATTCCCTTTGTAGCAATTGTGAATGAGAGTTAACACATGATTTGGCTCTCTGTTTGCCTATTATTGCGTATAGGAATGCTTGTGATTTTTGAACATTGATTTTGTATCCTGAGACTTTGCTGAAGTTGCTTATCAGTTTAAGGAAATTTTGGGCTGAGATGGTAGGGTTTTCTAGATATACAATCATGTCATCTGCAAACAAAGACAATTTGACTTCTTCTCTTCCTATCTGAATACGCTTTATTTCTTTCTTTCTTTTGCTGATTGCCAGAACTTCCAATACTATAATGAATAGGAGTGGGGAGAAAGGGTGTTCTTGTCTTGTGCAGGTTTTCAAAGGGAATGCTTCCAGTTTTTGCCCATTCAGTATGATATTAGCTGTGCATTTGTCATAAATAACTCTTATTATGTTGAGATAGGTTCCATCAATACATAATTCATTGAGAGTTTTTACCATGAAGAGGTGTGGAATTTTATTGAAGGCCTTTTTTGCATCTATTGAGATAATCATGTGGTTTTTGTCATTAGTTCTGTTTATGTGATGGATTTTATTTATTGATTTGCATATGTTGAACCAGCTTTGTATCCCAGGGATTAAGCTGACTAGATCGTGGTGGATAAGCTTTTTGATGTGCTGCTGGATTCGGTTTGCCAGTATTTTATTGAGGATTTTCGCATCGATATTCATCAGGGATATGGGCCTGAAATTTTCTTTTTCTGGTGTGTCTTTGCCAGGTTTTGGTTTCAGGATGATGCTGGCCACATAAAATGAATTAGGGAGGAGTACCTCTTTTTCTATTGTTTGAAATAATTTCAGAAGGAATGGTACCAGCTCCTCTTTGTACCTTTGGTAGAATTCGGCTGTGAATCCGTCTGGTCCTGGACTTCTTTTTGTTGGTAGGCTACTAATTACTGCCTCAATTTTAGAACTTGTTATTGGCCTATTCAAGGATTCGACTTCCTACTGGTTTGCACTTGGGAGGGTATATGTGTCCAGGAATTTATCCATTTCATCTAGATTTTCTAGTTAATTTGCAAAGAGGTATTTATAATATTCTGTAATGATACTTTTTATTTCTGTGGGATCAACGGTTATATCCCCTTTATCATTTCCTATTGCATGTATTTGATTCTTTTCTTCCTTATTAGTCTGGCTAGAAGTTTATTTATTTTCTTGATCTTTTAAAAAAACCAGCTCCTGGATTCATTGATTTTTTGGACGGGCTTTTTGTGTCTCTATCTCCTTCAGTTCTGCTCTGATCTTAAATCTTGTCTTCTGCTAGTTTTTGAATTTGTTTGCTCTTGCTTCCCTAGTTTTTTTAATTGTGATGTTACGGTGTCGATTTTAGACATTTTTCTGCTTTCTCTTGTGGGGATTTAGTGCTGTAAATTTCCCTTTCAGACTACTTTAGCTGTGTCGTATTTTACTTTTTAAGCCCTCAATCTTCCTTTTTCATCGTGATAGTCTTTACTGTTTTATGTTTATGTAATGTAAAATTGACTACACAATTTTTACAAAGATTTTATGAAAATATTTTATTGAGAATGTACAAACCGTCAGTCAATTAGAGGAGAAGTTACACTGTCATAATAAATAGCCACAAAGCAAAACGCCAAAAGACATCCAAATCAGAATAAAACAAAACATTTTAACAAAAACAAAAAGAACAAACTGGCAACAAATATGTGAAGTTTATATTACAAAGATGCTCACTTATCCACTCTAAAGAGAGCTTTTAGAATTTGATTTAAAATACGGCAAAGACATTATCCCACACTTCACAGAAAAAATAAATTTAAGCAGCTGTTAACACATGAATGTATTATCAAGCTCAGATATAATCAAAATTAAATATTTGACAAGAGATTCTACAGTTTGGGAGAAATAGAAGTGTTTTTTTCTTTTCCCCAGGCCCACAAGTCTAGTTTCTTGTTCTTCTTCACTATAATGGGGTTTGTCATCAGCTCCCCAAAATATGGGAAGCACAGAGCAGGTGGTGGCTGAAGGTGGGGTATCCTGTGAAACCATATTTAAGATCAGAGCCCTTGGTCCATTGTGTTGTAATCAGCTGGCTCAGGAAAGAACACCTGGCTGTCCAGAGCTCTACACCTACTGCACTGGGTGTGAAAGGAGGCCTGAGAACCCATGGGTCCCAAACCCACCCCACTCCAAATTATCATCCAGTATTGAGAACTCTGACACCAAATTCTCACAGAGCATATGTTTATGCAGTTTTACATTTAATTTCTCATTACATTACAATTGGGAAACTGAGGCCCCAGAAGAGGCAGAGACTGGTCCAGATCTCAGGAGGTGGGCAGGCTCCAGAGCATTAGAGAGGGCTCCAGCTTCCTAGGCCTTGGCACCGTCCCACTTATCAGGTTTGTTTTCGAAATTAGAGTCTGTAGCTACACATTCAGGAGCACAGAAAATGAGCAGATTCAGGGTTCTGTTCACATGGGGTCCTCTCCATGTCAGTTTCAAGATAACAGGACTGGGGTTCTGCATCCAGCTCTGAGGGCAACTGGAAGTAAAATGAGCTATGCTCCACCTCAGCCTAATGTAGACAGTGCCTACAGGAAAGCTTGTTTTCTTCCTCATAAATAGGGGTGCCTGAAGTGGGTGACCTTGATGATTTCACATACTCATAAGTGTCTGCCAGCCTGGATTCTTGCTCTGAGACTGCAAAAATGCACCCACTCTGCAGATCCTTCAAATCAGAGGGAGGCATGGCCACTTGAGAGGCATCTTGGGTAGATGAAGATGAGACAGAGTTAAATGTGCCAGAGCACTGGACTCTGAGGCTGAGGTCCACGGAAAATCTCAGCTACTGTTGCGTTCTTAAGGTCCTCATTTGAAAGTGGTAGAAAATAATTTCACTGGATAAGGGGAGGATACCTCATGAGTAAATAGCACAACCAAAAAGGTGGAGGCAAAGAGAGGGCAAAACGGGATTCCTAGTTCACTCATTATACTTGGGGCCTTCAGATCCTGCTACTTTATCCCCTAGGACCTTGAAGAACCAGTGTCTTGAGGACAGAAAAATCAAGGTATCAGATTTGTTCAGTAGTGCTCCTGCTTGGGGCTGTAGGGTTAGTGATGGCCAGGAGGTGGTTACAGCCTACTGTGTTTCTGGTGCCCACTGAGCTTTGCTGGAGCAGCTGGAACAAGTAACAGTCACACACCTCATGTTGTTATCAGTGATGTCCACATTATCAGGTGGTCAAAAGGGGAAGGGATATTAGGGATCCCCCATATAATCACTTAGCCAGTCTTTTTTCCCTTGCGCTCACCATTTGCCAGCGACCCTGGTGGGTCCAACATGTGGTACAGAAAATTATTACTTCATGTCTGCACCCCCCAACCCAGGACCAAACAATCTGAGGACCGCTGGACAAAAGCACTAAAGCAAGTATATGTGAAAGAAAAGAGCAAGGACTATAATATAAAGTAGATTATTGAGAAGAAAACCTGGAAAATTATTGCATGGGAGGACCTCAGGCCTCACTGAGGTGACTTTTAATCCATGATGAGGATGACAGCAGGGAGGCATCTGCACAAGCATGTGTCAGGGAGAAGCCACCCTTAGTGAAAAAACTCATAGGTGTGAGTTTGGCAGAGGTAAAAAGGGACTAGTTTGGCTGCAGACAGCCTGAGAAAGAGATAAGCAGAGGGATGGAGAATCCTAGGGCCTGGGAGATGAGGTTAGATATCTGCTCCTTTCTGACAACATTGCCCTAAAAGTCAGCACTTTTCAACAACATATAATATCTCATAATGTGTGTGGACCAGAATCTGGACACAGCTCAGCTGGCTACCTCTGCCTTCAGGTCTTTTATGAGACTGGGGGCTGTGGTCTTAACTGAAGCTGGACTGGGAAAGCATGAGCCTTTAAGCTGACTCATGTGAAAATTGACAGGGTTTAGTGTGGCTGGAGAGCCTGACTTTCCTTCTCTCTACTCGTCTGAGCACCCTCTCACCCTTTGTTATGTGGGTCTCTACATGGAGCATCTCATAGCATTGGAGCTTGCTTCCTGTGTTTGAGGAATACAATAGACAGAATTAGACAAAAAGGTTTACACAAAAAGAGACAGAAAGATCGAGGGCGCAAACGAGAAAAACCCAGTAGGAGAAAAATTAGAGCTTTAAAAACATCTTGACAGGGTGCGGTGGCTCACACCTGTAATCCCAGCACTTTGGGATGCTGAGACGTGTGGATCGCCTGAGGTCAAGGGTTTGAAACCAACCTGGACAACATGGTGAAACCACCGTCTCTTCTAAAAATACAAAATGAGCTAGATGTGGTGGCGCATGCCTGTAATCCCAGCTACTTGGGAGACTGAGGCAGGAGAATCAATTGAACCTGGGAGGCAAAGGTTCCAATAAGCCGAGATCACACCACTGCACTCCAGCCTGGGATACAAGAGTGAAACTGTGTCTCAAAAAAAAAAAAAAAAAAAAAAAAAAAGAAAGAAAGAAAGAAAGAAAAAAAACTTGAGAGTTACTATAATTTTTCTTCTATATTTGTGTTAAAATTGTAACCCCGGGCGTAATGCTATAAGGAGGTAGAATGTAATTAAACCCTTAGGGTGGGACCCTCATAATACAGATTACTGGCTTTATACAAGAAACCGCAGAGGGCTCTCATCCTCCTGCAAAATGAGGGTAAAACCTGAAGTGTGCAGGCTGAAATTCAGAAGCCAGTCATCACCAGATCTCAACCATGCTGACACCCTGATCTCAAATTTGAACCTCTGGAGGTATGAGAAATTAAGTCCTGTTGTCTATATGCTGCCTATCTATGGTTCTTTGGCATAGCAGCCTGAACTAATACAAAAGTGATATCCTTTTCTGTGTTTCATTGGAGAGAAGCTGAATTTGTACCCCCTATACTGTTAAAAAAAAAGACTTAAAAAATGGATCTTCAGAATGAAAGATAGGAAACGGCTTGTTGAAACACTAAAAATTTAACTGCTATAAGTTTTTTAAACATTGGCTGAAATTGTTGGAACCAATATTGCCAACTGAAGTCCATGAAGCATCACTTTGCAGACTTTGGAGCCCAAATTTCCATTGTGTGCTTCATACTAACTCTCCCTGAATTTGTATGTGACCTGTGAGGAAACAAGAAGAGATGACTGTATATGTCTCATGACTTTCCATATTCCTACTTTCCTTCCAGCAATCCCCTACAGAACCCACCTATTAGGCCTTTTCTAATCACTGCCTTAAAGCCAGTATGACAAAACAAATTTGATTTGAACTCCTATCTCCTTGTTAGCCAACATACAAGATGATATTTTCCTCAAAACCGAAGGGCCATAGTACTGGCATCAGGAAGTATTCCATTTTATTCAATAAAAAACTGAGTCACTCAATACCTAGTACTGGGAGACTTTGTGAAGACTTCCTCTGTCATAGACGTGATAAGGCACATGGATATGATTCTAAATATAAAGAGAAAGCACTAGAAAGTTGAATTCCTGTATTAGATCATTCTCATACTGCAATGATGGAGTACCTGAGACTGGGTAACTTATAAAGTAAAGAAGTTTAATTGACTCACATTTCCACATAATTGTGGGGGCACCTCAGAAACCTTCCAATTACAGTGGCTGACAAGTGAAGTGAGTGAGAGCATGGGATGTACCAGATGCTTATGAAACTATCAGATCTCGTGAGAACTCACTATCACAAGAACAGCATGAGGAGAACCCGTCCCCATAATCCAATCATCTCCCCTCAGGTTTTCCCTTAACACCTAGGGGTTATAATACACAATGAGTTTTGGGTGGGGACGCACAGCTAAACTATATGAATGCCAGAGGACAGTATCTACATTTAATTTCAACTTCATACTGGAGCAGAATGAAAATGAGGCCCAGTGGAGAAGTGATATTTCCAAGATCACCCTGGCAGACACCAGGCCTGTTTGAGTTGTGGCCCATGCTACCTCCCACCTATTCTCCTAATGCTTCCATCTCTAAGTGTATGCATTATCTACAGGTGACACTACATCATTATTTTTATGTCTTATCTTATATACACCTAATACATTCCCTAGGAAGTAGATGTTAGCATCATCACCAGTGTGCATGTTAGGAGGCTGGGGAAGCCTTGAATACAGTGACTTTTACTGGGTCCCAGAGATGGTAAGAAAAACAAGGTTATGTTCCAGCTGTCTCTTCTATCCTGGAACCCAGGTTGCATTTAGGTCTTTCCAGGGAATTAAGGGGAAGTTGTGTTTGCATAATTGTGTACAAATAAAGAGTTGACATGGAAGAGGAGACTGAGCAATCAGTAGCATAGTGGGGCCTTTCGGTATGTCTTACAGAAACATGGGGCCCAGTAGATGGAACCTTGAAGAGTTTAACATACTTTCTTGGTGTCAGAACCCAACAGCAGTTAAGAAACCAGGAATCCACATTCTTGAGACAGCTCTGTATCCACCTCTGTTTGTGAGAGTTGCTCAAGAGAGTGAGATGCTCTTTCATTGTGCCCTGAAATTTCTGAGTTTCAGCCTTACAAAGGCTCAATGTAAAAGTCTTATCTGATAACACAGATGTCAACTGAGCCCTCATCACTGATGTCCCTGGCTTTTGGCCGGGTGCACCTACAAATAACACAGGGCAGCCCAGGACAGGCCCCTCCACGCCAGCCTCTCTTGTCAACTCATCTGGGCAGTCCCACACCACTTCTTAGTACCATGAGTTGGATGGGGAGCAAGAGGGAGGGCACTCTTCTTGGACTGAAGTAGATTGTCGGGTGTTGGAACTCTTGTGTACCTGTCATGTTCATACCTAGGCCATAGCTGGCAGAATAAAAAGAAGAGGGTTGGAGAACGAGTCTGTGTACTCAGATGTGAATTCCAAGACTTTAACTTGTCCTCTGGTTTCCTTCCTTCATGGAGATTTATACAGATTCTCCTTATGTGCCTAATCTGAAGAGAAGAATTTCTTTTATTTTCTTTTTTCTTTTTTCCTTTCTTCTTTTCTTTTTTCCTTTCTTCTTTTCTCTTTTCTTTTCTTTCTCTTTCTTTCTTTCTTCTTTCTTTTTTTTTTCTTTCTCTTTCTTTCTTTCCATCTCTCTCTTTCTTTCTTTCCTTCTCTCTCTCTTTCTTTTTTATTTATCATGAAGTCTCACTCTGTTACCCAGGCTGGAGTGCAGAGAAAAGCAGAATTTCTAATGGAGGTGTCACATACGGTCAAAGCAAGGAAGAACACAGACTTTTCTTTGCGTGGTTTCTAGGCACATTTACAAAGCTGCATTCAGATTGATGAGGAGCTTCATCATTCAGTTTAATGTGGCCAACTCCTCCCTCTTTTTGGAAAAAGAGCAGGTGCACTAAACCAGCAAACACAGCCAGCACTGGGCTGTGCTGAGAGCAGCCACATAGGGGTCTCTACAGACAGAAAGCTGAGAAGACAGGGAAAGAAACAGGACCCAGACTCAAATATGAAAAATCTCTGGGCTTTGTCCTACGGCCTTCCCATGAGTAACTCATAGCCTTGTTCCAGTGGAATCTGGCCTTCACTAGTCTCAGTGGCAAGTTGGTTATGTGGAAAGTCTCTCTTCACACACTTGTGCGAATAACGGTAAAGAATTTTGTATAGTTTTCACTTTACATTAGGCCATGAGTATTTATGCCTGTGGCTGCAGTTTGTGTTAGTTTCCGGCCCCACGTATCTCCTGCAGCATGCAGCTTCAGTCCTATCGGACCCTCAAAACTTAAAAGCTAACACTATTACTAGGGAGGATTTCGCAGGAAAATGGAGAAAGGGTTACACACAAAAAAGGTTAAACTACTCTATGCATGTTTCTGCAATGTGTTATCTCAGGAACTCATTTCTGTAGCCCATCAGGGCAGGAGCTGGGCTCTCACCTGTTGATAATATTCCATAAGGGAGGTTCTTCCCCACAGTGTTTAGTCTCCCGACGCTGGTACAGCCTGACATGATGACATTCTACTTTCATGTCGGTCATGCTGCAGGGAAAATTCTGAGTGTTCTAATAGGCTGGAATCATTTGCTAGGGTGAACCCCATCTTTGGTTCTCACTTTTCTGTTATCTTGTAATTAGCTTTATTCTCAGCAAATCCATGTCTATTTTATTTATCTGTTTATTTACTTATTTTTATGTATGGAAAAACACTTTTTTTTATTTACTTATTTATTTAGAGACAGGTCTCCGTCTGTTACCCAAGCTGGAGTACTGTGGTAGAGTGCTGTGATCATGGCTCATTGCAGCTTCAAACTCTTGGGCTCAAATGATTCTCTCACCTCAGCCTCCTGTGCCACCATGCCCTGCTAGTTGATTTTAATTTTTTATAAAGAAGGAGACTCATTAGGCTGCCCAGGCTGGTCTCAAACTCCTGGGCCCAAGCAATTCTCTCATCTCAGCCTCCCAAAGCACTGGGATTAAAAACATGAGCCACTGTACTGAGCTGTGCCTACTTCAAAAGACTGAAAATAAAAAATCAATAAATCTTTGCCAAATTAAAAAACAAAACAATAGTTTCCAGGTCTTAGACAAAGACAATTCTGTGTCATGAAGAGTGGCAAAAGGCTTATTTAGCTGTTAAAATGATTTGCTTATATTTCAAAGAAGCAGAGAAAAAAAGATACATATAAAAGTTTTCCAGGCCAGGCACGGCTGTTCATGCCTGTAATCCCAACATTTGGGGAGGCCAAGGCAGGAGGATCTCTTGAAGCCAAATGTTTGAGTCCAGTACAGGCAACATGGTGAAATTCTGTCACCATAAAAAAATAAATAAAATAAATATGGCTGGACATGGTGGTTCACGCTTGTAATACCAGCACTTTGGGAGTCGGAGGCAGGTGGATAATGAGGTCAGGGGTTCGAGACCAGCCTGGCCAAAATGGTGAAACCCTTTCTCTCCTAAAAATAATAACAATAAAAAATTAGCCAGGCATGGTGCTGTGCGCCTGTAATGCCAGCTACTCAAAAGGTTGAAGCAAGAGAATTGCTTGAACTTGGGAGGCGGAGGTTGCATTGAGCTAAGATCATGCCACTACACTCTAGCCTGGCCCACAGAGCAAGACACTGTCTTGAAAAAATAAATAAATAAATAAATAAATAAATAAATAAATAAATAAAAAGTTAGCTAGGCCTGGAGGTGCATGCCTATAGTCCTAGGTAATTAAGAGGTTGAGGCAGGAGGACTGCTCAAACCCAAGAAGTTAAGGTTATAGTGAGCTATGATTATGCCATTGCACTTCAGACTAAGCAAAAGAGTAAGATTCCATTTCAAAAAATTACTAAAAAAAGTTCTCTAAATTACATTGTTTAAGAAAAGGGAAAAGAAAAAATATCTTTTTTAATTTTCAAATGGGAGAATAGAGCCTCTCATTTCTAATATGTATTTCCTTCTGCAAAAACATGGTCTAGGCCCATGGTCTTGAACTACTGGACATCTGAATTTTAGTAGGTGCTGGATTCAGGCAACTGAGGGGTGGCTTGGACACACTAAGTGCACGTAAATAAAAGGTTTGAGGTGAACTAAAAGGTAAAAGAGGGGAAGGTGCTATTAAGAACCCACAGTTGGGAGACAGTACAGGGTTGGTGGAAGGACTGGTTCATGCTACAGATACTGACCCAGGTGAAACTTTACTCTGACTTATTTCTGTGTCCATGCAGGAAGACGAGATTATGATCAGGTGGCACAGAAACCTGGGATGGTGAAAAAACCAGGTTGCCCCTGCAGATTCGGTGTCTGAGGTAGAACGTATGCCAGGGGTCTTGTAGGCACATGTGTGGGTTTTTGGTGGGAAAGTCTATGAGGAAAGGTAGCATGGGCAACAATCTTGATGCCAAAGCCTTGTCCTGAGAGGGGCTTGGCCACATCAACATGCAGTGTGTATGTTCAGTGGGTGAAAAACCTGTGGTGGCCTCAGGTTGGCAGGAGGGTAGAAGGCATCTGTTCTCAGAACTTCTTCCCTCAGAGTCGTCGGTCCTTCTTACCATGGGAGAATGCCTGGAACCACAGGGCAGTGCATGGTGTAGCAGCCTGTGTGCAGAGCAGAGCCTACCTTCCCCGAGACACCTGGAGTCTCTCTCCAGCAGAGGCCCCCACATTGTCTTTCTCCTTACAACACTTTTGATCCTAAATGTGTAAAGTTCCCTGAAAACCCACTGCTTCTCCAACACCCATTTGTTGCCCCAAAATTTAATTCTGACACAACTTAGAGTTCACACAGATCCCAGAAATTCAGGGCTCAGTCCCACATCACCCCTCTCACTGTAGAGGAGAGTTACACATCCCTGAAGCCCATCTACACTTCTGAGCTACCTCCTATAAATCTGAGACTAGCATAAACCCCTTTTCAAGTTAAATAATTTGATAGAATTACTAAAAAGAAAACCTCAACAAATAACTGTAATTATATTTACTACTTTATTATAAAAATATAACTCAGAAACAGCCAAATGGAAGAGATGTCTAGGGCAAGGAACAGTTGTGGGTGAAGGCAATCCTGGAAATAGCTATATTTAAAGAAATTCCCCCATTCTTTGCATTCTCAAAGAACAGCTTAGTGAAGAGAAACGTGCTTCCCCTGATGACTTTGAGGATGCTCCCTGCTGTTTTTTTAACCTATCACAAAAATGGACACAGATTGCAAATTCCCATTTTTAAAAATGAACAACCATTCAGTAATTTAGTCTTCAGTGGTCCAAATAACATACTCTTAAAGAAACTTTGCTTGTTTCTCTTCTTCCAACCAGCCCCTGAACTTTGACTCACCCACAGCTTCAGCAAACCTACAACCCTTATTTATACATACCCCTCCTAAGAACAGGCTGAGTTCAAGGTGAAACATTATCTTATCTGGGATCGCATTTTGCTACCCTCCATCGTGTGCTTCCTTTCCAACCTTCTTTGTAAACTTGTTTTCTCCTCCCTATGAAATAAGGCCCTTTTCCACCTAACCTTAGAGATACTCAAAGATCTAATCATTTGTACTTTTTCTTTGTTGCAATACTTCTTAGGTAACTTCTTAGACCAAGTCTAGAAACAGTCTGAGGACAATAACAATTCCATTCTAAAAAGAATCTCCCAACATTTCTTCTATCTCAACCTCAACTGCATCTGCCTGTGAACTTCCAGCTTACCAAGGCTCTATATCTTCTGGCAGTGACAAAGGCTCCTTCCATGGTTGGTGTGAGTAGGCTTGGACACCTGCAGGGCAGACACCCAGGAATAATCAACTGGGCCTTCAGTGGTCCTCTTTTGCAGGGTCAAGGTGGGCCTTAGCTTTTAGTCAATGGTCTAAGACTTCTATTTACCAGTTAGTCATTCAGTTAGTTTTCAATTCAAAAAATACTTCATGTTTGAAGAATCCAGCAAAAATTATTCAAATCTAAGATATAAAAGAGAGGAAATTACAGCCGGGCATGGTGACTCATGCCTGTAATCCCTACATTTTGGGAGGCCTAGGCGGGCAGATGACCTGAGATCAGGAGTTTGAGACCAGCCTGACCAACATGAAGAAACCCCGTCTCTGCTAAAAATACAAAATTATCCAGGTGTGGTGTTGTATGCCTGTAATCCCAGCTACTCGGGAGGCCGAGGCAGGAGAATCGCTTGAACCCAGGAGTTGGAGGTTACAGTGAGCAGATGTCTTGCCATTGCACTCCAGCCTGGGCAAGAAGAGTGAAACTACATCTAAAAAATAACAGAATAAAATAAAATAAAAACATTATAAGGGGCTTATATCTTATAATTCATCAAGAAAAGCCAAAGTATCTATCCCTTTCAGAAAATAAACATGTAATTTAATTATGTTCAAAACAAATCATTTAGTAAACAATTAATCATATGTGAACACTTCCAGGAGGTGCAAAGTCCCAGCTCCTAAAACTTAACATTACCCTCAAACACCCAGATGGCAGCATATGGAATAGAGTTATTCACTTTCACAAGTTCTCTCTTTTGAAAAAAAGAATAACTTATGTGATAAATTTATGTAATTTGACAATTAATCTACCTCATGTGCTTGCAGATATGTATTCATTTCCTACCACCGTAGTGGAAGAGAGATTTTCCCTATCTTTACAACTGATAGCATTTCCAACAGTAAGCTGTGAGATTCTGCTTGAAATCACCTCTCAAACAAATAAAAAACAGACCTGGGAGACATGCTACACTCATTCTGCTGAGGAAATAGGTAAGTAACAATTTTTAACAAATGAAATACATTACTACTTAATTTTATTCAAAATTCACCAACTTAATGTGCTTTATAAATATTCTCATACCTTTGAAGCTCTACTGATAAAACATAATTTACAGTTAATGAAAAAGTGAAGTTAAAATAAATACAATCATATTTTCAAGGTGACAAAATTAGAAGGTGACAATGGTGATTGAAACACAGACATATCTGACCCAAGGGTCAAGTCAAGCCGTTCTATTACTTGGGATATTTTCCCTGCTTCTATCTGGTTCAGTGATGTGGGTCATGAGCGTCCTACCAGGAGCTGCTACGCTCTGCTCCACTGTGTCTGTGAGGTGCATTTTACTTTGCAGGTTTTTGCACTGCCTCACTAGGTTGGGTTTCTTTGTCCTTTGAAATATTTTCTCTCCCTTCACCAATCTGAGGACATTTTTTCCTCACTATTCAGCATCCAGTTGCCTGGCATGCAATGTGTCTCTAAGGAATGGAAACTAAGCGTTGGGGTAAGAAATTCTTAATGTCCTAAAGGGTTTGCTTTTAGCGCAAATGTATACGTGGAGATTCCTTCCAGGTATAGTGCATCCAACCACTCCAAAAAGAGGCTGCATTCCCATACCTTGGGCTGTTCCCTGAGAGGAGATGACACAAGGGATGTTATTTACTAGACACTTCAAGAGTCATGGCCAGTGTTGGTATCTTGGGGATTCTCAAACAGTTTTGAAACCCAAAACCAAGAAAATAACACAAGATGGCTGAGGATGTATTGCCCTGTGAGGTTTCTGAAATGAAACCTCAACCCAAAAACATTCTGATGGGGTGTCTGTGCCAAGGGAAGATTAAAGAAAGGGGCACAAATATTTTCTTTTCTTTTCTTTTCTTTTTTTTTACTGTGGATTGTCAGGGGATTATTATCTGCTTTCATGTCCTGTAAAATGTTTACAAATGAAAAATATTTTTTTAAGTGTCATCCACTGCTTTTTGAAAAAATGCAGAATTAAAATACTGTGTCTAAAATGTACAATAAAGAACAGTTGATAATGTTGTGAGTTACACAAGGTTAGTTAGTGTTGGTAAGTGTCAGGAAAGAACTGGAAATTTAAACTCTGACAGCAAGCCAGAGTTAGGCTGGGGTAACAGGGTGGTAGATTTGAGGCTCTTCTTGCCACACATTTGGAAAATGCATGAGAAAACTAATTCTCTTTTGGAGCATTAAAACAACTAAAAAACAGGCAATTGCGTTGAGGTGGCTCTAGTGTCCTGAGCTCTGAGTAGAGAGACAGGCAAAGGCATCCCTAGATCCAAAAAGCTGCCCATTCTTCTCCAGCTGTGCACCTGATTAGATAATTTCCACTCCAGCACCCATGATTGGATATAGTTCAATTCCCCACCAAGCCCCCTCAGGCCATGAGTGACATATGTGATTTGACACTGGATTGAATAAAGCAAGAATTATAAGTTTTTCCTGGATCCTTTTCTGGCAGGGCTTCCTTCATGCACTGGACACTGGCCCTGCCTGTAAAATACTTGCATTTTCATTTGTGTGTAAGATTATTTGTATTTATGAAAAATATATATGTGTTATTCATACATGGAAGCAATATAATGACAATTGTTTTAAAATTTCAGATGTTTTACTTTCCTGGCACATCCAGGTTTTAGAGCAGGCAGCCTGAGATTTCAAAAATGAGGCAATTCTCTAAGAAATAATATGTGAGGCACATGTGAATTTTAAATATTCTAGTAGCTACATTTTAATAAATACACCAGGCATGGTTGCCTGTTCGTGTAGGTTGAACTGTTTGGGAGACTGATGTGGGAGGATCATTTGAGGCAAGGAGTTTGAGACTAGCCCAGGCAGCATAGAGAAAGCCATCTCAACAACAACAACAACAAAATTGAAAAATTAGCCATGCCTGGTGTATGCCTTCAGTCCCAGCTACTCAGAAGGCTGGAGCTGGAGGATCACCTGAGCCTGGGAGGTCAAGGCTGCAGTGAGCCATGATCACACCACTGCACTCCAGCCTCACTGACAGAACAAAACTCTGACTCAAAAAACTGATCTCTGGAAAGGCATTTTCTTTTTCTGCAACGTAGCCAAATAGCTAAATTTGTATTGAAGCCATCCTTTAATTTTTAACAGGGCAAGAATATTTTCTAAGACCCCGAACTCCAGATATGCGATGGGGCAAATCCTGAAGCGTACATGGCTATCTCTCACAGCTAAAGCACCCCTCACCCCTATCCAGCGCTTCTTACCCCTGGCGCAAGAGAGTCACCTGCGGGGAGGAAAACTATCAAAATCCCTTAAACCCAAGTTGTAACCGCACAACTAAATCAGAATCCTTGGAGCTGGATCTGAAAAAAATACGGTTGAAAGTTGTGCAGGTGATTACAATGTGTAGGCAAGCCAGAAAACCATGGCTTTAACGAGCAGCTTTTGTTAGAAATGATTTCTCAAATGAATGTAAAAACGTTTGCTGCTGAATTGTGACCTTTCAATTTTACCTGCTTTTCCTGCAAAGTATATTTTGCAGACCCAGGCTGGCTTGTCCTTCTGTTCATGGTTCACCCAGTGCCGTGTGTGCTCAGTGCATCCTGTGCACGGGTCACTGTGCTGTGTGCGCTGGCCGGGGTGAGCATCATTCTTCGGGGAGAACCTTTCTGAAAACAAAGCTGCAATCCAAAAAGTTAAAACCATGCTACTTACTGTACTGAGGTAAAAATTAAAAGACCTAGGGGACTCTTCCAAAAGTTAAAACGTAAATAAATATCTTGGAACATTAATATACACCTGACGATGTCCTGAGTGAACACGCCCCACTTTAAAACAAAACAAAACATTACTATTATTCTAAAATATTAATTTAGGATTGTTATGCAAATATGTACTATTTAAATATTTATTGATGAATAACATGCATACAGCAATATAGGAACAAAATATTTATGGAATGCTTGATGAATTATTACTAAATAAATACACTTGTGTATGTAAGAATCAGATTTGCTCATGCCCTTGACACTTTCTCCTTCCCAAAGGTAACCAAGACCTTAAGAGCTAAGTGTAGATAAACTTTGTCATTTTCTACACGTGTTTTATTACAGAACATTAAAAACGTATACATAATACAAAAAAAGGATAACAGACCAGTCACCCAGATTTAACAGCTACTAGTCATGTGTCATTTTTGTTTCACCTATACTTCCAGCCATTTCCACCCCAATTTCATTATTTTTTAGCCTTTTTGGATAAAATGTATATTCATTGCAAGGTACAATGTGAACTGTGAATAGTAGAGAGATGGGGTTTCACCATGTTGACCATGCTAGTCTTGAACTCCTGTCCTCAGGTGATCCACCTGCTTCGGCTTCCCAAATTGCTGGGATTACAGGCATAAGCCAATATACTCAGCCTGAGAATTTTTTCATACTTCTAAGAAAGTACAAATCCATAGGGCACATGAGAACTGCAATGTCTATCTACAGTAAATACAGTTTGATAAATAAAATGAAAGGCAATTGACCTAAGGTGAAAAGAAAAACAAAAAACAATCAAAGCATGGGTACTATGTGTCATCTGTAAGAGCATTTGGTTAAGAATAACAAACAAACCAGTTTTATCGTTTTAATAGCCGAAATTGGCAAAATTTCTAGTTTTTCTTTCATAGGAATGCTCTTTGCAAGAAAAAATTTTCATATAGTGAGAGCAAAAATGGCAACCATTTGCAAGTAAATGTCTTATGAAATTAAGTAGCAGATATCAAGCTCATGACCTTCAGATAGTTACCCCTAACTCAATCACTTACATAGCAAGTGCAGATAATTTTCATAGCTCCCTATTAAAATTATATTTGAATGCCCTTACAAATTGTGACTGTTTTTAAATAAAGTTGACCAACTAAAATTTTGTATATGACATATGATAAATTCCCCTTCAAGTCACCTTACATTTACTTAATTTTATTAGGCAGTGTCTGTCTACCACCCAATAATACTTGACGATTCTCCCTCCATTTGCACAGGCATCATAGCTGGGAAACGGATTCACAAGACCCAGGCTGTTCCCTACATATGTTTCCTCCTCCGACATCAGTTCATCAGTCAATCAAGCCATGTGAGAGTGGAGGCCTTGTATTCCCTATTATTCTTGGGCACTCTACTCCAAGTAGGAAAAGGCCAGGAGGTCCTGTTAAAGGATGCACTCAGAGCCCGGGCTCCCTAACATATGAGAGTGCTAACCAGCAGGTGTAGACTTTTCAGGAGTGAAGAATGAGGCAGGCATTCCAAACCTGGACCTTCATCACCTTTTGTTTCATCTCAAGACAATTCTGAGGGACTGTTTTGGAGCGTGTCTGGAAGGTGAACCTTGAAGAAGAGTGTGGGCTTTGATGTGACTCAGTTGAGATCTTTCATGGGGAGGCAGGAATTCAATGCCCAGAATCTGGGCTGGTGTCTTTGAGGTCAGTAGGTTGCGTCTTTGTATCCAAGTCCATTGTTACTAGGTTGGAGGCTGGAGATTCTAAATGGCTTCCAGACCATCTCTCTGATTCTCTTTGGGAGATGGGGTCTGAAAGACAATGTCAGTAGTTTTGGGAAATTCTAGAAAGTGTGCTTGGAAACGTGGGAAGAGCTCTTGCCTAGTGCCTAAATGCTCCATTTGCAGCTCTAGCCAAGTAGATACTTGGTAGGTATAGAGCCGGGTTTGCGTTTATATCAGCAAAACCTATGTCAGAGTTGAAGAAGTAGTCAGGAAAAAGCGTCTTGGTCGCAGGCCGGGGAACATCTTAAAAGCAAACTTCTAGCCTGCTGACTCTTGGCAATGAGTGTTGGATCCTGGCTAAAGTGCCTTGAATGCAGCATGAGGCCAATCCATGAATCCAACTTCTCATGGAGAAATGTTAATATTTTTTCAGTTTGAATCAATCAGGGTGAAACTACCATGCTATTGGTTTGCTTACTTTTTATTATTTCATGTAAAATCTAAGACAAAATACATTAAATGCTTATTGACATATGTATTTATTCTTCACCAGGCTGATAATATCTGCCTAATTTTAAACTTTCTTCCATTTTGTAGGTTTCAACTTATTCTATTGTAAGATACTGTTAAATCTAATAGAG
Source organism: Homo sapiens (assembly GCF_000001405.40). Lineage (NCBI taxonomy): Eukaryota > Metazoa > Chordata > Mammalia > Primates > Hominidae > Homo > Homo sapiens. The sequence continues at coordinate 5,591,118 of NC_000021.9, forward strand.
GCATTGTCACTTTTACGTATAATTTTATTTTATTTCATATATTTCCTATTGGCTTTTTACATTTAAATTATGGAGCACTTCATCATATAAAAAACTTCAATTATATTTAAACAGTAAGTCTTTGGATTTTTTTGCCTTGTAATTTCCATATTACATAATAATGAGATAAACATTAATGTTTTCAGGGTACTTTAAATTTTAGATAATTACTCATTGTATTCATGTGAAATTTGTTTTTACTGCATGTGTGGGTTGGAGGACTGTTTTCACTTCTGATTCATCTTTACTCTTATCTCATCAGAGCTCATACCTCTTGTAGTTGGGGGATTGCAGTTTATAATTCCAATAAATGGGGCAAATTCAATAATAACATAATACAAATGAGTTTGAATGCAGGACAGGTCTTCAAAGCATACACAACATGGGCCTACATATGTACAACAATAATAATTTATAAGTTACTGTTTGGATGGAAAGTAAAAGTACAGAAAATTTGTTAAAGGAAATTAAAATGGAGATCATGTCTCAATAATCTCTGAGCAGACAAAATTAGTTAGGTCTCATAAGTGATCTCAACCTCGCTTGATTTGCAAATACAAACAAAACTTAAATTATTTCTTGTAGCTGCATATTGAAAAAAGAGAAATGAAGCTCAACCAGTCAGAAGTAGCCAACAACCTTATATAAATAGAAACTGTCCAACAAGGTAAACAGACAAACAAAAAACAATAAAAAAAGTTGTGCTACCACCAAATGATTTCTTTGTTTCTACATTTTTCAAATAAATACTTGCTTCTTACACTGTCAATGAAGCACTCAATATCTTTCCGTCTGATATTTTATAATTTATCAATTGCTCTTACTCAAATAAACACTTTGCAATTTCATTGTGTCTCAAATTACTTTTTAGCAGAATAAACTAGGAATAAATATTACAAAAATATCTACGGAATATGGAAAAAACATAGAAAGTTTATGAAATATATGAATGTAGACATAAGCAAATAGACAATTTGTATCATATTCTTAGGCAGAAAAACTCAATATTATCAACATCAATTGTCCTTATAGTTATTTATAAATTCAATTTTGTTCCTATACTGATACCATTAAATATTGCAAGTACACGTTACTATAAAATGTTATATAGATGAAAACACAAACAAGAATAGACAAGAAAACTCTGAAAAAAAAAAAAACCACTGGCAAGCCCTGTGTAAAATCTTGATTGATTAAAAAACTCATGGATCACTGAAACTAAAAATTCAGAAATAAACCAAAGTGTCTAAGAAAGTGTCATAGTGCATCTTGGCTGCTATACCAAAATACCTTAGACTGGGTAAAGGATAAATAAGAGAAATGTATTTTTCACAGTTATGGAGTCTGGAAAGTGCAAGATCAAGGCAGCAGCAAATTTCGTATATGGTGAGAGCCCTATTCCCCATAGATGGTACCATCTCGCACATGGGACAAGGGCATTCCCTTCAACTTCCTTTGAAAGAGCACTGATTCCATTCATGAAGATGAAGAACTCTTGGCTTCACCACTTTCCCAAAGGCCTCACGCCTAAAATTATACACATGAATTTGAAAGGGGACATAAACATTCAGGCCATAGCAATAAAAACTACATGGGTGATGGCATCATTTATACATGAGGTGTAAAAATGTGATGTTCTTATCACAAAGGAAATAAATGATTTATTCTTCATGGCATATATCAAAATGAAGGTCCAATGAAAATATTTTTTATGAAGATAAATCTATATGGCAAAAAATTAAGTATTGATAAGTTTAACCCTACAGGTTGCATCAGGATTTTCAAGGTTTCCAGGGATGAGCAAGGCCCTGGAGTTTCCTCCTGTGACATTTTCCTGAAAGTTGCTCATGCTGTTATTCAATTTGAAAGTAGATAATATTGTTTGTTTCTCTTCCAATATTTACTAAATTCAAAATAATATAGGGCTCTTTACTCATAATTCTCAAACAATCATTCAGTCAGTGGGGCTCTGCTGAGGAAGAGCACAGACACATCCACACAAGTATAATGTTCCTCAAATAGAGGACTTCTCCTTGTGCTGGAGCCACCTATGTTGCACTCGATCAGAGGCTTTCCCAGGATAGCATTTCTCTGCAGCCCTACCTCAGTCTTAACCCTGAAAATCCCACTCAGAAGGCGACGGATGAACACCCACCCTAGCATTCTAATCTAATGGATCCTCTCTTAACAATCCCTTCCAGGGATCTGGGATCTTTCCTGGATTCGTCGGCCACACACACCTAGGCTCAAAAATTTGGACAGAAACTTTGATCCTCATTGGCCCTCCTGCCCTGTCCTACCAGCTTCTCTAGAAGTATGCTTCTCTAATTGCTCCTTAGAGACACTATCTAAGGGTATCAACCTGTGCCAATATAATTGATCTCATAAAGTGAGAAGGGAAATAGGCAAGAGTCCAGCTAGCCTAGAAGCAGTGTCTAGGGTTCCTTACCTGATTTATGTCTCTGATTTACCTAAATATTGACAAATACAGATTCACCTCTAGGCAGTAGAAAAACAGAAGGAGAAATCCCAGTTCGTAGAGGAAGAAGAAAATGCAATCAATGCTGTCTAGAGTCCCGCTTAAGCTCAGCCACAGGGTACTAAGTCTCTTCAGGAAAAAGCAATTGTTGTCCATCATCTGAAAAACTGTGGCCTGGAACCATGGGCACCGAGAGTGCACACTGCCCACTAGAGTTCCATGCCTACATCACGGAGAGATAGAATAGTCTCAAAGGATTCTTAAGAGTAATGTGGGGACCAAAAGGAGATGAATCCACAGCCTCTGCCTTACCGTCTGATCTAACTAATAGTATTTCCAGACCTTTCTGTGGGCTGCACCAGGGGTTGTTCAGAAAGAAAAAAAGTTGTTAATGTCCCACCGTTTCCCGTAGCTTCCGAGGTCTGTGTTGTTCATACCCCAGGTTCCAGGTTGTTCTCCCACTACTTCCACAGAATCAGTGTGTCTCATTCCGGTACCTATAATCTCATCTTTATTCTAGTCGCCCTCTACTTTTTTCTAGACACTTTATCTACTAGAGCCAGGTAAAATAGAGACAAGAATATTTACATAAAACTTAGCTGGAACTAAGTTGGAGTCCCATAACTGCTACTAGGCTGAGATGCAACTCAGAGGATACAAAAGCCAGGCTTGCCTAGAATTGCAGTTATGGGAAAGAAAGTCACATTTCACCCAGGAATTATTAGCACGAAATTCCAAGTTTGTGAAATAGATTCCTAGATGATTCCTAGATCCCCCAAACATTTCATCCTTATCTTGGAGGCAATCAGGAAGAGAAAATAAACCATACCTAATCAACAAATTATCTAACCAGCATGTGTGGAAAAGGAGGGAACATCATAGAGTTGGCTTGTTTTAGTACGTGTGGTGAAAAATGCCGCGAAGTCAGAGCTCAATTGGTCTCAAAAGCCTAAAAGATGGCACAGATTAGCTTCACGGGACACATGGTATGGATGGTGTCGGCATACTGTTATGCTGAAGATGTCAAGAGTGGTGACTGATATCTCAAGAAGTGGGCCAAAAGTCCACTTCTGGTTACTCTGCTTGGTATGGTCTAGGAATTCTTCAACCATGAGACAAATAGGTCAACTTTCACCAGCAACCCCAAGTCTGGTTTGCAGTATTAGACTCTGCGTTAGACACAGATTTAGGTTCAATCTGCAGCTTGATTGTTGTCACTCTCTAGAAAACAAACCCTTACCATGGACTTCTAGATGAGTGATCCAGTTAGATCAGCATCTGAGATTGTCTCCAGTTTGCAGCCCAAAAGATATTCAGACAGTCTACAGTTTCCATTGTAGATAACCAAACAGATAGAATATGTGCCATTATCCCAAACCCTGAGTTCTGACCTTTGAGAGGAGCAACCACTCATGTCAGGTTCTGTATGGCTGGCACAGGTTAAACAGCCACAGCAGCCCAGTGGACATCATGAGGTTTCACCTTCCCTGACTCATCTATGAACCAGGACCAGTCATATAGGAAACACTCAGTAAATTGGGGGCCCCACAGAGACAGCATCTTTGCTTCAGAGGATAGAAGGAGGCATAAAATTTCAACCAGCTGGGGATGCTCTAGCCCTCTATGGGTGAAACTGAGTTTGTCAGGAGTTCTGCAGCAAGCTCTTAGCTGACTTTCAAATCAGTGTAACCAGTAGTGTGTCACTGAGTCCAAAAGCCCAAAGAACACCTCTGGGAGGAGGCTAGTCCTTTACTAGAGGCTCCAAATGCCAAAATCAAGATTTTCTTGACCTCAGGATGAATTGATCAATGCAAATCTCCCCAAATATTTTCACTAAACCTTAATTGGAAAGTAAGACTCCAGATTTTTTAACTCTCACTAAACATAAATATCTGATTTTTTCACCTGAGATCTATGTATGTGTGTTGGAGCATGCCTTTACCAATCAGCATAAAGTTACATCTCTCCTTGAGCCTCTACTTTCTACTTGTGCAGAGTTTAAAATGCAGAGGTGAGAGCTTAGGGTTTTCTGGGTCTTTTGCTAAGCATGTACCTGACCTTGAGCATCCCCAATTCCCCATTTCCTTCTTGATCCCAAAGACCGTTATCACAGTCTTAATTCCCAGCAGCTTTTCCTCCTAGAGCTTTTTGACATGATTATTCTTAGACCCAACTGATATCCTTCGTTCCTGGTAGACTGCGTAGCTCATTTCCATTTAAATGCTTTTAGAAATATTAAACTATGGATTTAAGATTTATCTGCTTTTTAAATTAAGTAATGCTGCTCTTAGCCTTCCACAGGACTTGAGGGTTATAAAAAAAAAGGAAGAAAATAATTATTTTATACCAATAGTATGAAAAAGAGACTGGGAATGACTATATTAATAGCAGACAAAATAGACTTAAAAACTTAAAAGAGACAATAAGACATTATATAGTCATAGATTGTCCATTTGGCAGGAAGATAGAAATAGTTTAAACCCATACCTAATAATAAAACATTGAGATATAGAAAGCATAACTTGACAGAATTAAAGGGGCAAAAAGGCAGTTCTAAAATAATAGTTGAAGATGTTAATACTCCACTCTGAGTAATGAATAGAAAAATGAGATAGATGATAAATTAGGAAATAGAGTTCTTGAATAACTCAATGAACCAAATTGATCTAACAGATATATACAATATACTCCATCCAACAAAAGAGACTACACACTCTTCTCAAATGCACATGGGGATTTCCCCACGATGGGCTGTGTAGTAGATCTCAAATTAAATCAATAACAGAAGAAACGTTAGAAAGTTTACAAAACTGTATAAATTAAACAACATACCCTTAAACAACAAATAAGTAAAGGAAGAAATCACAGAGGAAGTTGGAACATACTTACAGAGGAAGAAAAATGAAAACAAAACACATCAAAAGTTAAGGGAAACAGCAAAAAGAGTGCTAAGATGTAAAGTTTGCAGCTAAAATGCATTTAAAAAGAACAAAGATTTCAAATAAATAATAACTTTATCACCTAGTAAATTAGAAAAATAACACCAAATTAGATGCAAAGCAAAGAGAAAGAAGAAAATATTAAAGCTTTTAGCAGAGATAAATGCAATGGAGATTATACAAACCACAGAATTCCAAAAAACCAAAAGTTCATTCTCACTTCTTCAAAAAATTAACAATTGGCAAACTTTCAGCTACACACACAAAAAATTAACAGCATATTCACATACTAAAATGAGAAATGAAAGTGGGACATTACTACTAATTCAAAGAATTAAAATGTTTAAAAAACTGTACTGTGAACTATGATAGGATGATAAATTGGAAAACGTAGATAAAGTGGGCAGATTCCTAGGTATACAAGACTTGATTACAAAGAAATACAAAATCTGAATAGATACAAAACTACTAAGGAAATGGAATCAGTAATTAAAAGCCTCTTCATAAAGAAAAGCCCTTATTTTGTTGGCTTCACTAGTGATTTAGATCAAGCATTTATAGAACAAAAATCCTTTCCAAAGTCTACCAAAAGCCTGAAGAGAGCAGTTCCAAACTTATTCCATGAAGCCACCATTAGCTCATACCGAAGCCAGACAAAGATACTACAAAAACCCATAGACTAATATCCCTTATGAACACGGATGCAAAACTAGTCAGCAACATCCTAGCTAACTACATTCAGCAGCATACTAGCAAGATTACAACCCATGACCAAGGGGAGTTTATTATTGGAATGAAAGGAAGTTTTAGCATATGGGTGGTTTCAGTGCAGTGGTGTTTACAAATAATTGATCACAACCAGTATAGATTTCTTTATTCTTTTTCCAGTCTCACTGGTTCACTTAGCTAGCCTTTCTTAACAAAAGTTTAAGCATATGAAAATTAATCAATGCATATGCCACATTGACAAACTTTTTAAAAAGTATTCTCTCATTAATACAGATAACGTATTTTACAAAATTCAAAATATTTTATAATAAAAACAATAAATTAGGAATAAAAGGAAACCAGCTTTGTAAAATTCACATATAAAAACCCACAGCAAACAACATATTCCAGAGGAAAAGATCAAAAGTGTTTCCTCTAAGCTCCGAAGACAGAGTGAATATCTGCTCTTGCTAGCCACTTTTATTCAACACTGTATTAGAAGTTTCATTCAGAGAAATTAAAAAAGACAATGAAATAAACTGCATCAAAATGTGTACAGAAAATATATTCTTATATGTAGAAAATCTTTAAGATTCCACCAAAAAATATTACAACTAATAAATTCAGCTGAATAGTAGCATACAAAATCAACATACAAAAACAAACTGCATTTTATGTAGTAACATGAATAATCTGAGAAGAAAACTCTGAAAACAATTCAATTTACAATAGTATCAAAAGAATAAAGTAGTTAGGAAGTAACGAAGAAGTAAAATGCCAATTACTCTTGTGTAGATATTAAAAAATCAATTTTTAAGTTTATGGGGAATCTCAAAGATCTTTAAATTGCAAAAATAATTTTGAAAAAAATACCAAAGTTAGACAAGTCACACTTAATGATTTCAAGACTTACTACAAAATTCCAAAATAGCATGCTACAAAGAGACTAATGGAGTAATATAGAAGGCCCATATAAATAAACCCTCATATATAAGGTCAAATGATTTTTATGGGAAATGAACTGCCTTTACAACAATTAGTGCTGGGGAAATTGGGTGCCCACATGTAAAAGAGTGAAGCTGGGCCCTTAACTTCTACTATAAGAAAAAATTAACTAACTGGATCAAAGACCTAAATGTAAGAGCTAAAACTACAAAATTCTTAGTATAAAATGTAGGTAAAACACGTCATAAGGCTGGATTTCGCAGTGATTTCTTTTAACAGGACACCAAAAATGCAAGAAACAAAAGAAAAATAGATAAAGAGGACTCTATCCAGAATATACAAAGAACAATTCAGCAATAATAAACTACTTGTTTAAAATATGGGCAAAATACTTAAACAGATATTTCTCTAAAAATTATGTGAAGTGGCTTATAAGCCCATGAAAAGGTACTCAACAAAACCTTTTCATTTTCATTAGTAAAATGAAAATCTAACCCCAAATGACATATCACTTAATGCACATCAGCATAACTAGTACAAAAAGAAAAAAAAAACAGAAAATCACAAGTGTTGGTGAGGAAGTGGAGCAGTTAGAACCCTTGTACACTTGGTGGAAATGTAAAATGCTGCAGCTGCTATAAAACAACACCATAGTAACGAAATAATTTACACTCAAAATCACCGTATGATCCAGCAATTTCACATCTTGGTATGTTGCAAAAGATGTGAAAGCGAAGACACAAAATAATACACGTACACCTAAGCTCATAGCAGCATGACTCACATCACTCAAAAGGTTTTTGAATTACCTGTGTTGTTTGAATTATCATCAATGAATAAATAGATAAAATGTGATTTATACATACAGTGGGATATTATTCAGTTATGAAAAATAAGGAAATTCTGACACATGGTACGTCATGCATGAACCTTAAGGACATTGTGCAAAGTGACATGAGCCAGTCATAAAAGGACAAATACTGTATCATTCCACTTATGAGATACTTAGAGTAGTTAAATTCTGGAAACCCACGTAGAAGAGTGGTTCCTAGGAGCTGGAGGGGGAGTAACAGGGAGCTGTTATTTAATGTGTATTGAATTTTGGTTTGGAAGTTGAAAAAAGATCCTTATGAATGGGAATAATAGTTGCAAAACAATGTGAGTGTAGTTAATTTCTCTGAGCTGAACACTTAAAATAGTTAAGATGGTTAATTTTATGTATACTTTGCCAAAATGTAAAAAATATTTTTTAAATAAACAAACTATAGCTATCTGCAATAGCATGAATTAATATCATAAATATAAAGTTGCCTAGAAGAAAGTAGATGTAAAAGTATACATATTATATAATTTCACTTATATAAAATCCAGAAAGTGAACACAACTGAGGTTCTGGTTTCCAGTAATAATGAAGTAGACTAGTTCGTTGAATAACTATTTCACAGATAACAATAATAAAGCTTAATAAAATACTATATTTTGCTATATAGAAAGGCACACTGTTTAGAAGACTGAATGAAGATTTTATCTATGCCACTGTGGAAGAGATAAGGATTGGGGTTTGAATCTATTCAAATTAACTCCCTCTTAAAATAATAATTTTCAAAGAAATACAACAGAATCCAGAGTCCCTGTAGTTCCTATCACACAATTTAAAAATTCATGAGATGTGTGAAGAAGCATGAAAGTGTAATCGATTCACAAGATAAAAAGCAGACAATAGAACCTATTCTCAAGATGTGCAAGATGCTGTAATCAGTAGATAAGATTTGAAAGAAGCTATGGTAAGTACGTTCATGGGGGTAAAAGAAAACAGTCTCATGACAAGTGAACAGAAGCGTAACTGTACATTTCATGCGCGTCCGTGTGAAGAGACCACCAAACAGGCTGTGTGTGAGCAACATGGCTGTTTATTTCACCTGGGTGCACGCGGGCTGCGTCCGAAAAGAGAGTCAGCGAAGGGAGATAAGGGTGGAGCCGTTTTATAGGATTTGGGTAGGTAAAGGAAAATTACAGTCAAAGGGGGTTTGTTCTCTGGCGGGCAGGAGTGGGGGTCGCAAGATGCTCAGTGGGGGTGCTTTTTGAGCCAGGATGAGCCAGGAAAAGGACTCTCACAAGATAATGTCATCAGTTAAGGCAAGGACCGGCCATTTACACTTCTTTTATGGTGGAATGTCATCAGTTAAGGTGGGGCAGGGCATATTCACTTATTTTGTGATTCTTCAGTTACTTCAGGCCATCTGGGCGTATACGTGCAAGTCACGGGGGATGCGATGGCTTGGCTTGGTCTCAGAGGCCTGACATACACTCCCAGTCTTTTGGTCACAGGGCTGTGGGACTGAGGAGGGAAATTAAAGAAAAATAAAATTAAAAAGAAAGAGAAATAAATTTTCTTGTATTGGGCTGACTTGTCCCAGAGGCTTCAACAGGCACAGCCCAGAACCAGGAATAGTCTTGATAATATTATCTAATGTGCTCTGGAGGCTCTCCCAACGCTCCCCCAACATCGGGAAAAGAAAAACAAATTTCCTTTTTTTACGGAATGAGTTTATAGATTCTTGTTCTCTGTAACTAGTGACTTCAAGTATTCTGTTTTATCTAAGAAGTACAATGTAAGTCATGAGAAGCCTGAGTAGGCTGAACTACAGCTGTTTGGGCACCATAGTGAGGGTTATAGGATAAGCCCATGCCCAGGGAAACCTAGAAAATGGACATGTGGGTTGCTTGGCAACGGTCATGTGCAATCCTGTCTGTCCTGCCTCTGTATCCCTGCTTTCACGCCACTGTAAACTTGCTTCAAGCTAGCCCACCACCTTTTGTGAAATGTGCATAAAAGTCAGGTTCTGTCTTTGTTCCGGGCCCAGTCTTTTTGATGTGAGTTAGCTTGTCCTCAGTTTCATGGGGGTCCGTGTGAAGAGACCACCAAACAGGCTTCGTGTAAGCAATAAAAGCTTTTAATCACCTGGGTGCAGGCAGGCTGAGTCCGAAAAGAGAGTCAGCAAACGTAGATAGGGATGGGGCCATTTTATAGGATTTGGGTAGGTAAAGGAAAAAGGGGGATTGTTCTCTGGCGGGCAGGAGTGGGGGGGTCACAAGGTACTCAGTCGGGGAGCTTTTGAGCCAGGATGAGCCAGGAGAAGGAATTTCACAAGACAATGTCATCAGTTAAGGCAGGAACAGGCCATTTTCACTTCTTTTGTGGTGGAATGTCATCAGTTAAAACAAGAACCGGCCATCTGGATGTGTACGTGCAGGTCACAGAAGGTACGATGGCTTAGCTTAGGCTCAGAGGCCTGACACTGAGTGCACTCAATAAAAATTCTCCTGTTTCAACCCGGGGTCTCTCTCATCCTCCTGAATCCCGCAACGGGAGAATTCCAGCATGCACCAGGTTCACGGGACAGTGCGCGGTCACTGAAAGAAGAGTGGGGCGGGGAGGGTGGTGTGCGGCTGTGAGCACCTCTTGTGCTTGCTGGGAGATGTAGTCTTATAAAGACTCCCAGCCCTTTGGTCACAGGGCTGCAGCACCCCAATTCCAGCATACACCGGAATCAGAGACAGTGCGCGCCGGCAGAGGAAGAGGTAGAGCTGTGCGTGACTCGCTGGGCTTGATGGAAAATGTAATCTCATGAACACTCCTTAATGAACAGTGCGCCTCACTGGAGGAAAAGGCGGGGCTGTGCAGGCCTTGCTTTGCTTGCTGAGAGATGCTGTCTCATAAACACTCCCAGCCCTTTGGTCACAGGGCTGCAGGACTACATTCCCATCATGCACCGGGATCAGGGATAGTGCATGTGCCTGGGTGAAGAGACACAGTTTTGCGCGCCTCCTTTGGCTTCCTGGGAGATGTAGTTTCATAAAGACACCCAGACTTTTCATTACAGGGCAGCAGGACTACAATCCCAGTATGCACCAAGATCAAGGATAGTGCGCGTAACTGCAGAATGAGGCGGGATTGTGCACGCCTCGCTGGACTTGGTGGGATATGTATTCTCATAAACATACCCAACCCTTTGGTCATAGGGCGGGAAGACTACAATCCCAGCATGCACCTGGCTAAGAGACAGTGCCTGTCACTGGAGGAAGAGGCGGAAGACTACAATCCCAGCCAGCACCGGGCTCAGGGAAATTGTGCGTCAGTGGAGGAAGAGGCGGGGTTGTGTGCTACTCGCCAGGCTTGCTGGGAGTTGTATTCTCATAAAACCTCCCAGCCCTTTCATCACAGGCCTGAAGGACTACACTTCCAGCCCCAGCATGCACTGGGCTCAGGGACAGCGCGCGTCACTGGAGGAAGAGGGAGGGCTTTGCGCTTCTAGCTGTGATTTTTTGGGAGATGTAGTCTCATTAACGCTCCCAGCCCTTTGGTCACAGAGATCCAGGACTGCAATCCCAACATGCACCCAGCTCAGGGATAGTGCGCTAATCACTGCAGGAAGAGGCAGGGCTGTGTGCACCTCCTGGGCGTACTGGGAGATGTATTCTCATAAACACTCCCATCCCTTTGGTCATAAGGCTGCAGGACTACAATCCTAGCATGCACCCAGCTCAGTGACAGTGCGCTAGTCTAAGGAGAAAGAGGCAGGGCAGTGTGCGCCTTGCTGGGCTTCCTGGGAGATGTAGTCCCATGGCCTCTCCCTGCCCTATGGTCACAGTGCTATAAGACTACAATCCCAGCATGCACGGGGCTCAGGGAGAGTCCACATCACTGCAGAAAGAGGGGCAGGTTGTGCGCACCTCGCTGCGTTTGCTGGGAGATGTTGTTTCATAAAGACTCTCAGACCTTTTGTCACAGGGCTACAGGACTACAATCCCAGGATGCATCGGGATCAAAGCAGTATGCGACACGGGGAAAAGATGCGGAGCTGTGTGCGTCTCCCTAGGTCTTCTGGGAGATGTGGTCTCTTGGCCCTTTGGTCACAGGGCTGCAGGACTACAATGCCAGCATGCAGCGGGTTCATGGACAGTGTGTATCACTGGAGGAAGACGTGGAGCTGTGCGTGCCTCGCTGGGCTTGCAGGGAGATGCAGTCTCATAACTACCCCAGTCGTTTGGTCGCAGGGCTGCAGCAGTACAATTTCAGCATATCTCTGGCTCAGGGAGAGTGCACTAGTCACTGGAGGAAGAGGTAGGTCTGTGCGCACCTCTCTGGGCTTGCTGGGAGAGGTAGTCTCATAAACACTACCAGCCCTTTCATCACATCGCTGTAGGACTACAATTCCAGCATGCACGGGGCGCCGGGGCAGTCCGCCTCACTGGAGGAAGAGAAAGGCGTGTGAGCGCCTTGCTGGGCTTTCTGGGAGATGTTGTCTCTTTATTTCTCCCAGCCCTTTGGTCACAGGGCTTCAGGACTACAATCCCAGCATGCATCCTGCTCAGGGACAACGCGCGTCACTGTAGGAAGAGGTGGACCTGTGCTGTTCTCGCTATGCTTTTTGGGATACGTATTCTCGTAAACACTCCCAGCCCTTTGGTCACTGGGCTGCATCACTACAATCCCAGCATACATCGGGATCAGGGAGAGTGCGCTAATCAGTGGAGAAAGGGGCGAGGCTCTGCACACCTCGCTGGTCTTGCTGGGAGATGCAGTCTCATAAACACTCCCAGCCCTTTGGTCACTGGGCTGCAGCGCTACAATCCTAGCATGGACCGGGCGCAGGGAATGTGCGCGTCACTGGAGGAAGAGGCAGGGTTGTGCACGCCTCTCTGGGCTTGGTGGGAGTTGCAGTCTCATAAACACTCCCAGACCTCTCATCACCGGGCTGCAGGACTACAATCCCAGCATGCACCCGGCTCAGGGAGAGTGCGCATTACTGGAGGAAAAGTCTAGGATGTGGATGCCTCCTTCTGCTTGCTGGGAGATGTAGTTTCATAAAGACTACCAGAACTTGTGTCACAGGGCTGCAGGACTACCATCCCATTATGCACTGGGGTCAGGGACACGGCCCGTCAGTGGAGAAAGAGGCGGGGCTGTGTGCGTCTCCCTCGGCTTGCTGGGAGATGTATTCTTATAAACACTCCCAGCCCTTTGGTCAAAGGGCTACAGGACTACAATCCCAGCATGTGCCAGTCTCGGGGGCGAGGTACAGGCCTGGAAGAAGGGGCCGAGTGGTACACGCCCTACCTAATATGCTGGGAGCTGTAGTCTGTTAACTGCTCTCAGCCTGTTTGTCGGTAGGCTTCAGAACTATAATCACAGCATGTACCGGGACCCGGGGTGCATAGCCCTGGAGGGAGGGGCAGAGCGGTGTGGACTTCCCGGTGTCCAAAGCACTGCTGAGTTCTTATGCTATGCCGACTCTTTGCCAAGGAGAATGAGTACATAGGTGGACCTAGAGGACAGGTCTGCGCTGAGCATTGAGGAGGGTATTACCCTACATAGGCACCTTACCTTTGCCCAAATCGGGCGGGTTGTCCTCAACTGATTGGCCCTATCCTTCTCAAGTTCCTCTTTCAGCTGCACCCAGGGTTCTTCCCAGAGCATTGCGCCTTCTGCAGCCCAGGGCGCTGCCTTCTTTCCTAAACTGCTGTGGAAACTGTCCTGATGTCTGAGACACTGTCCATTGTGCCGCAGCCCTCTTTTTTCTCTAGCCAAGCCTCATGCTCAACAGCTTTTGAGAGAAATCTTCCACGTGGCCTGCTTATGAACAGCTTCAGAATTCTGTAGGGGGTGACAAGGTCTGTGGCTTCCTGGAAATGTCACTGTCAATGGCGCCTTTTTCACGAATGTGAAAGTTGAGGCATCAGGAAGGTTAATTATTGGGTTGCACAAAATCTGCTAAGAGCAAAGGAGAAAACCCCATTTCCGAGGCATGAGTCTTGTGAGCCATTTTCATCAACCCATTTAAGTGGACAAGCTCCAAAATGAAACCTGAAGCTGCTGACTATTTAGGCATTTTACACTTGAAATCATCGGTCTCATCTCAAGTCACTCCTGACTTGCCAGTGTCTCAGAAACACAAATGGGACCGGATCCCTCAGGAGCAGATAGTGTTCCAGCTTTGTTGGAGCGACATTTAAGATGTGGAGCACTTGGGGTCGTTTGAAACCCGCTATCTTCAGTAGGGACTTTTACTTCTAGAGAACATGTGCATTTTGATTTTATCTGTCCTCAAACTGAACTTTTGCTCATTTTAATAGTAAAAACACATTCCTAGGTGGAGACTTAAGATGCTAATGAGACATGCAATGTATGCACAAATATGTACAGTTAGTGCACATGTGCACCCAGAAGACCACTCAAAACATGCTTACACTAACACTTCTTTCCACCTTCTTATGAATAATCGTGCAAAACCCCCAGAAGGAGGGTTTCTCCAGTAACAATTAATGGTGTCTCACTCTTATGAGCAGCCTGCCCTGGAATCTCTTTCTCAGAATGTACCGTCTATTCTGCACTTAATTTTCAAAGTAGTCTTTTCTTTTTTTGTGTGCAATAAATTACTCTATGCTGTACTTCTTTTGCTGTGTGTTTCTTGTTTGAATTCTTTTAAACTAAGAAAATAAGAATCAAGGTATTACATCAGCCATCAACATTTCTTTTGCCATGGCCTGGAGAGAGGTCTGTCCGCTTCACTGATTTCACTTTCCCTTTACTTGCCGTGAATACTGTGGCACTTCCAGACTACCTGGTTAACTATCGCTGGTTCTTCCAGCACTGTTTCACTAAAGTTCTGGGGAAACCCTGTCCCTTTAGGCTTTATGCATTTCCCAGCTCCTTGAAATTGTTCTTCAACAGGCTTTCTTTGCTGAACAAAAGATGCACAGTCATGGATAGGCCCAGTCATAGGGATTGAATCTGAGCATTGCAGGTGTTATAATTGGGCATCATAAATGGCAAACCACTGAATTAGGGAAAGGCTTGTCAGCCAGACATCTGCCCCCCAGCGAGCAGTGGGGGTCATCTCGGCAGGGCTGGAGATGTCCAGCGCTGGTGAGAGCTAGGACGGTGCATGGCAAATGCCTATGACCTCCTAGAGCTTCAGTTAATGGGGTTTCAAGGGGATGAGTTGGACAACTTGGTGGTTCCACTTGGCTCATGGGGCTGCCCACAGCCTCCTGGACTTTAGTACATGTTCTGTCGTTTGCAGGATTCTCTCGGCACCATGGGAATCACTTCCTCTACTGTCACTGAAACACACCTGGGATGTATATTTAAAAATTGAAACAGCTTTTGGCTAAATGAAGCAAAAAAACAATTATCTTCTTTTGTAAAACTATTTAGCCTGCATACAGATTAGCTGACAAAACATGGCTGGAGAATGAGACTGTGAAATTTAACACCATCATACAGCTAGATCTTTTCTGTAGTAATCAGGGAAAATGGTCTGAAGTATCCTATGTGCAAGACTTTCTGGCCCGACAACAAAACCCAGCTCCATGCAGCACCTGTGGGCTAAAGCCTAGTAAGCCACAAAGCCCCTCAGATCCAGTAGAAGATCATTTGTTTTATGGACAAGTGACCCCAGACCCCACAGCCTAATACCAGCTCCAGATAGGGGCCCTCAGAGGCCTACACCTGCTTTAGAATCCCCAGCGTCCCCACACTATCAGAGTCTTCTGTAGAATCTAAGCTTGTTTCACCTCCTCCTTATGCTCCTCTATCAGCCTTTGCCAGTTACAATAGAGACCAGTCCAGCTGCAGTTACTCACAGTGGAGCTTCACACCATGCAGGGCCAGAGAATTTGATCCGCTTACAGAAAGTCTCAAATGGAGAGAGGACCATCAGAGTGCTTCTTCTCTTCCCAGTAAATGATCTAATCCAATGTAAGCAACAGCTCTGATGGCTCTCAGACAACTTCAGCGCGTTTACTGAAGCCTTCCAGTCTCTAACTTTGACCACCATTCAACTTTACCATCCATAAATGGACCCAATGACTGCTGCCAACTCAGCTGCACAAAACTTTTTCTTATTTGCGAAAAATAGAAAAGACTTAAAACTTTTGCTGCTTTCACCATTTTAAAGCAGAATACTTTTGCAGCACAAATGTCACCATAAGGTGGAGCCTTGGGAATCCAGTATAAACTATCTCAGAAAATCTCAGTGTGTCCCCAACAGGCAGCAGAGGGCCTCAATAGACTTCAACAACATCTGGACTCCATGGCCACTGCATTCCAACAAAATCAAAGAGCCTGGGATCTTCTCCCAGCCAAGCAAAGAGGAACATGTTTATATCTAAAAGAAGAATGCTGTTTTTTGAGATCAATCATTCTGGTTTATTCCAAGAAAATATTAATAATATCATCACCCAGGCAGACAAAATTGAATCTCTAGGAACTTCCATGGGAACATGAAAGCAATGTCCATTGCCTGCCTTGCTCTCTTTAATAGTACCCGTCATTATTATATTTTCAACTTCTACTTTTGTTCCAATTTTGTTTAAAATGTTAACTGATTTCCTGCTATGTTGCTTGTGGCAG
This sequence comes from Homo sapiens, assembly GCF_000001405.40. Taxonomy (NCBI): domain Eukaryota; kingdom Metazoa; phylum Chordata; class Mammalia; order Primates; family Hominidae; genus Homo; species Homo sapiens. The sequence continues at coordinate 5,607,646 of NC_000021.9, forward strand.
CTCCATGTTTGCATGATGGTTTGCAAGGCTTTCAATCTTTGGCTGCCAACATCTTCCCACTGGTTCCACGAATGACATGGTTTACACCCTGTTAGATCACACAGGAAGAAACTTTAAGGCCCAGGCTAGGCAGAAGTAACACCCACTCAGCAGGAAACAGCTCCAGAAAAAGTGGTCTAACCCCTCAACCTCCAATATGGTTATTGCCCTAAAATCTCTTAGGGGGAAATTGAGGCAGAATAGATAGTACAGAAAATGACCATGATCTCAGGATACAGAAACCATGGTGACTGTACAGCCAACACAATAAGCCGTAGCATTCGCATTGTAATTGGGCTTATTCGAGCAAAGCTATCCTCATTAAGGACTTTCTGTTCTAGAGAGCATGTGTATTTTGATTTCACCTGCCCTCAAACTTAAATTTTGCTTATTTTAATAGCAAACAATGCACCCCCTAGCCAGGCACGGTGGCTTATACCTCTACTCTCAGCACTTTGGGAGGCTGAGGAAGATGGATCACTTCAAACTAGAAGCTCGAGACTAAACTGGCCAACATAGAGAAACCCCGTCTAAATTAAAAATACAAAAATTAGCAGGGTATGATGGTGCATGCCTGTAATCCCAGATACTCAGGAGGCAGAGGCACGAGCATGGCTTGAACTCAGGAGGCAGAGGTTGCAGTGAGCAGAGATCACACCACTGCACCCCAGCTTGGGCAACACGGCGAGACTCTGTCTCAAACAAACAAACAAACAAACACACAGAAATACACTCCTGGGTGGAAATATAAGATGCTAACGAGACATGCAACATATGAACAAGCATGTACAGCTACTGCGCATATGCACCCAGAATACCACAGAGAACATGTTTACTAGCAACTCCTCTTCCCTCCTCCTTATTAATAATAATGTAAAACTGCCATAAAGGGGTTTCTCCAGCGACAGTCCACGCTGTCTCACTCTTATGAGCAGTCAGCCCTGGAGTATCTCTCTCAGGGTGTACTGTATTCTGCACTTAACTTTCAAATATTTTCTTTTCCAATAAATTATGCTGTACTTTTTTTCTTTGTGTCTCTTGTTTAAATTCTTAAAATCTAGGAAGACAAGAACAGAGGTATCACATCAGTTGTCAACACAGCAATAAGTCAGCCTCCTTCTTGTAAGCATAGCCCATGCAGAAAAGGAGAGTCGCATCACCTCGGTGCTGGATCCAGAGGTATGTCACAATTTATCCCATGCACAAAGTTAAGGTCATTGAGGAGAGTCGTATTAAATAATTTCTGGGCCCAGGGATTTGTCACAACAGCTCCTGTGAGAAGAGATCAGGCAGCATAATCACATAACCGGTGTGCTGGACACAGCGATAAGCCACCTTTCATCTGTGGGCATGACCCAGGCAAGAAAGAAGAGTCACGGCATTTAGGTGCTTGCTGCAGAGGTACGTAACAATCTCTCTTATGGGCAAAGCTCAGGTAAGAGAGAAGAGTCAAATATCCAAGGTGATTCATGTAGAAATTTGTCACAAGAGACTTTTTAGGCAGGGCCCATGTTGGATCTTCTTATCTTCCAGAAGTTAGGTACAGGGATATGTCAGAATACCCAAAATACACAGGGCTCAGTCAATAAAGAAGAGCCACATCACCCAGGTGCTGGGTCTAGACATATGTCACATCTCTTTTATGGGGAAAGCTCAGGTAAAAAAGGAAGGTCATATCAAATAGTTGATAGACCCAGAGATATGTCACATTGCCTCCTGCTTGAAGTGTCTAGGCCAAAGACTCACATCACATTGGTGCTAGGCCTGTGTTCATATATAAACATTCAACCAGAGTTAAAATGGTGGCCCACATCTAAACTCAGCTCATAGGCAAGGGATGAGTCTCCTATCCTGACATAGTTAATTGTAATGATGTTGACTCTCATCCCTGGGCCTAATGCTACAAGTATGATCATGGGTCCCTACCATTAGGAAGGTCTCAAAGTTGATTACGACTCTCATGCATACTGTATAGGGCCATTGGGTAGTACACAGAGCGTGCTAACTGGGCCGAGCACACAGGTGAGATTGTCACACTCATATGCACACCCAGCCAACAGTAACTATTGTCATCCTCTCACGGGAACACAGGTCAGTCTGCAGAGGAATTGAGGCTGTCATGCGCAAATCCAGTCTGGTGTTGAGATGGTTACTCTTGGGCTTAGACCCAACATACAGGAGGTGTTGAATGTCATGCCTACCACTGAGACAGCTGTGGGATTGTTAATCTAATTCCTGGACCATTCTGCAGCTTCCATTGTGAAATTTCCCAGTGCCTAGCACCTAAGTGACTTGACGGGCTCGCATGGACCCAGCCCACAGATGGGATATTAACATATTGCTGGATCCAGCACATTGAGGATGTAACTCTATTCTCCTTCCTTGGCACTGCCCACAGTGAGCAGTTTGACATATCGCTAGACCTTACACCCAGGTGATGTGAGTCTCCTCTTCTGCCTTGGCGCTGCCCTCAGGAAGCGTTGTTATATATAGCTTGGCCTCGCATCCAGGTTATGTGACTCTCCGGCTTGTGCACTGCCCATATGGGACACTGTGTTAATATTGCTGGGTCCACTACTCAGGCTATGTAACCCAACAGCCTGGGCCCTGCCTTACAGGGGCATTGTGACATATCTCTGTGCTCATCAGCCAGGTGATGTGATTCTCTTCTCCTGCCTGGTCCCTTTACACAGAAGGGATTGTGACACGTTGCTGGGCTTAGCACCAAGTTGATGTTGATGTGAATCTTCTGCCTGGATCGAGTTCACAGAAGGCATCGTGACATACTTCTGGGTGCATCACCTATTTGATGCAACTCTCCTCTCTTACCAGAGCATTGCCCATAAGAGAGATTGTGACATATCCCTGGGTCTAGCACTGGGATGATGTGAATTCTCCCTGCCTGGGGCATGCCCACAGAAGGAAGTGTGACTTATAACTGGGCACAGCACAGGGGTGATGTGATTCTTCTGCCTGGTCCCTACCTACAGGAGTCATTGTCAAATGTCTCTGGGCCCATCATCTAGACTATGTGACTCTCTACTTCTTCCTAGGGCCTGCTCACATAAGGATTGTGACATATTACATGCCCTTCATCATGTGACTTTTCTCTCATGTCTGGGCTCTGTCTTGGAGATGAATGTGACACATAGCTAGGCCTAGCCCCTAGGTTCTGTAACTTCTCGTTTTTCAAAATCCTACCCACCAGGGGCATTGAAACATCTCTCTGGGCACTTCACTTAGGTAATGTTGCCCTGTTGCCTGGAGCCTCCCCTCTGGGGGGTATGGTGACATATTGCTGGACACAGTACCTATGTGATATTCTCTCCTTTCTTGCCTGGGCCTTGTATACATTATGTATTCTAATATATGGCTGGGTTCAATGACTAGGTGATGCAACTCTTATGCATAGACCCTACCCACAGGGACATTATGACATTTCTTTAGCTCTGACTCTCCTCTTTTTCCTTAGCCCTGCCAAAAAGGGAGGTGGTGACATATAACTGGACCTAGCAACCAGCTAATATGAGTCTCCTCTTTTGCCTGCACCCAGCATATTTTAGGTGTTGTATCATATCCTTTGTCTCAACACCTGCAGGATGAAAGGCTCCTGCCTGAGCCCAGCCATCTGTCAAAATTGTCATTCTCCCACACGAACATGGACCATAATTGAGGTTCTGAAACTCACACCCAGAGGCAGTCAAAAGTTGGAAAATTGGCTCTTAAAAGTGGATGTTGTCCTTAAGTGGGTTTGTGACTCCCTGACCAAGATCCAAAACACTTGTGAGGCTGTGAATCCACTAAGATAACTCCGTTTTCAAAAGGGATTAAGGCTCTCATGGAAAAAACCCATTCCTCCATTGAGATTGTGACTTATGCACATAGATGCAACATACAGGAGGCGTTCACTCTCATACCCAGAACCGGAACTTATGTGGGATTGTTAATCTCATCCATGGACCTTCCTGCAGGTGTGATTCTGACGTACACCTCTAGCCAGCTCCTGAGTGATTTGACATTTTTGCCTGGGTGTAGCCCACAGATGAGATTGTGATATATCCTTGAATCCAGCATCTAATTAATATGCTTCTATTCTCCTGTCTTGGCACTGCCCATAATGGGTATCCTGACCTAACACTGGTCCTGGCACTTTGTTATGTGACTCTGTCCTGTGCTTTGCCCACATGAGCCATTGTGACATATTGCTGGGTCCAACACCCAGGTGATGTAACTCTTGTCTAGACTTTGCCTACAGGGGGCATTGTGACATATCTCTACACTGACCACCCAGGTGATGGCACTCACTTCTCCTGACTGCTACCTGTTTATAGCAGGGATTGTTACAAATCGTTGCGGGCAGACTCTAGGTAATGTGACTGTCTTTTTACAGAGTGCTACCCACAGGAGCCATTGCAAAATATCTGTGGGCCTCTCACCTAAATGTAGTGACTCTTTGCCTGGGCTCATTTCTCAGGGGTATTGTGACATATGGCTGACCTCAGCACCGAGGTGAACTGAGTTTCTTCTACTGTAGGGCTCTGACCAAAGAGAGATTACAATGTATCACCGGGCCCAGCACCTGAGCTATTTGACTGTCCGCTCTTGGCTGCGCCCTACATTTATTGTGTATTGTGACATATCACTGGGTCCAACACGTAGGTAAGGTGACTCACCTGCATGGGCCATTTCCCCATGGGTACTATGAAGTATTTTTTGTTCATCACTTAGGTGATGCAACTCTCCTCTTTGCCTTGGGCCCCACATAATTTAGCTATTGTGATGTATCACTGTGCGAATCACCTAGTCAATAGGAAGCTTCTACCAAGACCCTGACTACTGAGGGCCTTGTGACATAGCTCTGCATTTATCACCTAGAAAATATGATCCCCCCCCATTTCTGCCTGAACCCTGCTCACAAGAAAAATTGTAGCATATTTCTGGGCCCAGCAAACAGGTGATGTGTTTCACCTGCCTGTGCTTAGTTCACAGGGAAAATTGTGACATATCACTGGGCCCAGAACCCAGGTGAGGTGACTCTGCTGCATGTGTCGTGCTTTCAGGAGGGAACAAGAACATATCCCTGGCAGAACTCTTAGGGATGTGACTCTCTTGCCTTGTCCCTGTCCTCAGGGAAGACTGCAACATGTCCCTGACACAGACCCAGGTGATGAGACTGTCCTGCTTCTGACTACCCAAATGTGAGATTGTCACATATATTTTGGCTTAGCATGTAGGTGTGACGATGACATTCATACCTTAAACCAACCAATAGCAGAGATACTTTCTCTCACAGCCAGGCTTAACAAAACTTGCAAAATTATGGGTCTTCTCTTACTATGAAGGTCAGAGAAAGTAAGCACTCTTGCATATCCTGTAAAGCACTCAGATGGTACAGTGTCATCACAGGGCCCAGAACACAGGTGAGATTGTGTTCTCTGTGTGCACACCCACCAATCATCAGAATTCTCATTCCTACACAGGAACAGAGGTGATTAGGGAGGTCTAAACCTCATACCTGAATGCCGTCCACAGTTGGAATTGTAACTATCATTTGTGAACATCCAGTCACAGTGGGGATAGTGACTTATTTCTGAACCCAGTTTACAGCCAAGTAAAGATCCTCTTATCTGGATCCAGCCAGCTGGAGAGATGTTGACTCTCATACCTGGACTTATGGCCACAGGTATGATCATAGGTTCATATCAGCATGAAGACCTCAGAGTGGATTATGTTTAATGCATACTCTACAAGGCCCACAGGAGGTACATAGTGTCCTAACAGGGCCCAGCAAACAGGTGAGATTCTAACACTCATGCACACTCTGGTGACAATAAAAGTTGCCATCCTCAAAAATGGGCACAACCGGCGTGGCTCAGTGGCTCACACCTGTAATCGCAGCACTTTGGGAAGCCGAGGCGGACAGATCATGAGATCAGGAGATCAAGACCATCCTGGCCAACATGGTGAAACCACGTCTCTCTACTATTTATGATTATGATTATGATTATGATTATGATTATGATTATGATTATTATTTTGAGACAGAGTCTTGCTCTGTCACCCAGACTGGAGTGCAGTGGCACCATCTAGGCTTACTGCAACATCCGCCTCCCGGGTTCAAACAATTCTCTTGTTTCAGCTTCCCGAGTAGCAGGGAGTACAGGCTCATGCCACCATTCCCAGCTAATTTTTGTGTTTTTAGTGGAGACGGGGTTTCACCATATTGATTAGGCTGGTCTCAAACTCCTGACCTCAGGTGATCCACCCAACTCGACCTCCCAAAGTGCTGGGATTACAGGCATGGGACACTGTGCCTGTCCACCCCATCTCTACTAAAAATACAAAAATTAGCTGAGCGTCATGGCACATACCTGCAATCCCAGCTACTCGGGAAGCTGAGGCAAGAGAGTTGCTTGAACCCAGGAGGCAGAGGTTTCAGAGAGCCGAGATCGCCCCACTGCACTCCAGCCTGGCGATAGAGTGAGACTCCGTCTCAAGGGACCGAAAGAAGAAAGAAAGAAAGAAAGAAAGAAAGAAAGAAAGAAAGAAAGAAAGAAAGAAAGAAAGAAAGAGAGAGAGAGAGAAAGAAAGAAAGAAAGGAAGGAAGGAAGGAAGGAAGGAAGGAAGGAAGGAAAAGAAAGAAAGAAAGAAAGAGAAAGAAAGAAAGGAAAAGAAAGAATGAAAGAAGAAAGAAAGAGAAAGAAGGAAGGAAGGAAGAAAGAAAGAAAAAGAAAGAAAGAAAGAAGAAAGAAAGAAAAAAGAAAGAAAGAAAGAAAGAAAGAAAGAAAGAAAGAAAGAAAGAAAGAAAGAAAGAAAGAGAAAATTGACTCTCATATATGGATCTTGTCCACAGGTAGGTGGGTGACTCTCAAACCAAAATTCATTACATCTGTGAGACTGTAACTCTCCTAAGGGGAGAAGTTCTTCTCAGCCAGAGAAGACTCATTTATGAATCCAGTTCACTGTTGAGATTGGGACTGTTGTACCTAGGCCAAACATACAAATTCTCATACCTGGAATCCGGACATGTGTGGAGTTGTTCATCTCATCCCTGTCGCTTTCTGCAGGTGGGATTGTGACATACATCTCTGCCCAGCTCCTGAGTGTTTTAGCTCTGTTTCCTGTGTCCAGCTCACAGATGGGATTCTGATATATCACTGAAGCCAGCACCTAAATGATGTGACTCTTATCTCCTGCCTTGGTGCTGCCCACAGGGGACATTGGGACATATCACTTGGCCTTGCACCTAGGTAATGTATGTTTTCTGCCTTGCATTAGTGCTACTCACAGGGGTGTTGTGATGTATTGCTGGGTCCCACATCCATGTTATGTGACTCTTCTGCCTGTGCCCAGTCCACAATGGCCATTTTGACATATTGTTGCATCCAAAACCTAGATGATTTACCTCTCCTTCCTGAGCTTTGCCTAAGGGGACATTGTGAAATATCTATGAGCCCATCACCCATGTGGCGTGATTTTCTTCTCCTGCCTAGTCCCTGCTTAAAGAAAGGATTGTGACATATCACTGTGCCCAGCACCTATCTCATGTTACTCTTCTTTTGTTTTTTAGGATTTGTTTGGAAGGAGATTGTGATACATTGGTGGGTCCAACTTCTCAGTGACATTACTCTGTTGACTGTGCTCTGCAAGCAGAAAGCACTGTGACACATTATTGGGCCCAACACCAAGGTGAGTCTCCTGCCTGAAGCCTGCCTACAGCAATTTGTAACATATGGCATTGGGACATATCTCTGAGCCCATCAACTATTTGACAAGATTCTCCTTTTTTAACAAAGGCTTTGCCCATAGGAGAGATTGTGACATAATTCTGAGCCCTGAAAATAGGGGATATTTCTTTTGTTTTCTGCTTGAGCCCCACATTGTGATGTATTTCTCCTCCCAACAACTGAGGGAAGGGAAAGTCCTGCCTGGGTCTTGCCTATGGGGAGCCTTGTGAAATCTTTCCGTGTTCATCACCTTAAATATGTGACCCTCATCTTCTGCCATGGCCATGTTTACAGAAGGGAGAGTGGGTTATTCCTAGACCCAGCACACAGGTCATGTGATTCTGCATCCTGGTGTCTCCAGAGGGGTCATTTTGACATATCTCTAGACTCATCAACTAGATAATGTAATGCTCCTCTTCCCCCTGAAACCTATCCATAGTGGAGATTGTGAAATACAGCCTGGCACAGCACCTACATGATGGTACTCTCTTCTCATGCTTGGGTGCTGGCCACAGGGGTGATTAAGACTTATAGCTGGGTACAGTCTTCAGGTGATGTAACTCTCCTCTATTTTTGGGCCCACACACACAGGGAACTACCATATAGCTCTGCTCCTCAGTCTTAGGTGATGTGACTCTGCTGTCTGTTACCTCCTCTTAGGGGGAATTGTGATATATTGCTGGGCCCAGAACCGAGGTGATGTGGCCTTTTCTCTTGCCTGGGCCCTGCATACATGGTGTACAGTAACATATATCTGGGTTGAACACATAGGTGATGTGACTCTTCTGCATAGGTCTTGCCAACAGGGGTATTATGACATACTCTTCTATTCATTGCCTAGGCGATGTGACTCTCCACTCTTACCTGGGCCCTTCCAAAAGAGGGGATTGTGACATATCACTGACCCTAACACCAAGGTAATGTGACTGTTCTCTTTTGCCTGGGTTTGCATATTTTGGGTATTGTGACATATCCCTGGGCCCAACACTTAGGGAATAAGAGGTTTATTCCTCTACCTTACGTGCAGTGAAGCTTGTGACATATTTCTGCATTCATCACCAAGAAGATGTGACTCTTCTGCCTGCATCCTGACCACAGAGAGGATTGTGAAATATTGCTAGATCCAGCATGCAGGTGATGTGTCTCTGCTGCCTCGTTCCTAATGTGAGGAGTGGATTGCAACATACCAATGCCTGAACATTCAGGTAATGTGACTGTTGACTGGTCCCTGTCCTCAGGGAAGCGACATATCACTGACCCAGCATCCAACTGATTTTACTCTCCTGCTCTCTTCCTATATGCAGGTGTAATTGTTACATATATCTTGGAACACAACACACAGGTGCAATGATGACATTCATATGTCAAACCAGCCAATAGAAGAGATACTGCTTCTCCTAGCTACACTTAGGGAAATGAAAAAAAACCCTGGGTCTCCTCGCTAAGATCATCCACTCTCTCATATATTACAGAAAGTCCTCAGGTGGTAGAGAGTCTTATCACAGGGCCCAGCACACAGGTGAAATTTGTTACTCCTATGCGCACCCTGAACCCTCCTGACCATTATGATTTTCACCCTCACATATAAACAGAACCCACTGGTGAGGTCCTGAATTTCACACATGAATGCAGTTTATAGTTGGAATTGCGAATCTCATATGTAAAGATCTGGCCAGAGTTGGAATGGGAACTTCGTTATAAACCCAGCGCATAGAAAGCTGATGACTCTCTTATCTGGACCCCGCCAATTGTAAAGATGTTGACTCATATATAGGCTTAGGGCCACAGGTTTGATCATGGGTCCATACCAGCATGAAAATCTCTGAAAGAATTGAGACTGTCATGCATACAACATAAAGCCGTCAGGTGCAACACAGAAAGTCCTAATAGGGCTCAGCACACAGTAATATAATGACATTGGGATGCACACCCAGCCAACATTAAAGATTGTCGTTCTTTCACATGATCATAGTTCACTTTTGAGGCTCTGAATCCCATACCCAAAGGCAGATTGAAAAGTTGAAAAATTGACTCTCATATTTGAGAGTCACAGATGTGTTGATGACTCTCAGATCATGAGTCAGCACACCTAGGAAGCTGTGATTTCAATTAGGGGACAAAGTACGCAAGAGAAAATGGGGCTGCCATGCACAAATTTAGTCCACTATTGAGATAGTGACTTGTGTACTTAGATCAAACATACAGAAGGTGTTCACTCTCATGCATAAAACCAGAATATGTGCGGGATTCATCCCATATCTGGACTTTCCTGCAGGTGTCATTGTGACAAGCATACACATTTGTCCAGCACCTGAGTGATTAGACTCTTCTGTTTAAGCCCAGCTCACAAATAAAATTGGGACATATCATTGGACCTAGAACATAGGTGATGTGGCTCTATTCTCTTGACTTCGTGCTGCCCACAGGGAGCATTGTAACGTATCACTGAACTTAACACCTAGGAGATTAGAGGCTCCTGCCTGAACTCTGTCCACAGTGAGCCTTGTAGCATATTTCTGCTTCCAACACCAGATGATGTGACTCTCCTTTCTGCCTGCACCTTGCCCACAGGAAAGATTCTGACATATCACTGGGCCCAGTAATCAGTAATCAGGTGATGTTTCTCTCCTGCTATGGCCTTGCCCACAGGGAGTGTGGTGACATATCACTGAGCTCAATATTCAGGTGATTTGACTCTGCTGCTTGTACTCTGATTTCAGGAGGGGATTGTAACATATCCCCTGTGAGCACACAAGTGATGGGACTCCCCTCCTAGCCTCTGACCTCAGAAAACATTGTTACATATCCCTGGCCCAGCCTTAGGTATGTGACTCTCCTACCTGTTCCCTGCCATCAGGGAAGATATTGACAGATCTCAGGCCAAGCATCCCGGTGACGTGACTCTCCTGCTCACTCCCTTCCCACAGAAGAGATTGAAACATATATCTTGGCCAGCTCACAGGTGTAATAATGACTCTCATACCTCAAACCTGCCACTAAGAGAAATACTGTTTTTCATAGGGAGGCTTTGGAAAACCGGTAGGTCTTAACTCTTCGTTTTGTATGAAGGTCTTAGAGGAATACAACTCTCTCATATTATATAAAGCTCTTAAATGGTACAAAGAGTGTTATCACAGGGATATGTTGCATAACCTATGGGAGGGGCCCAGTTATATGTCACAATTAACCCAGGGGGCAGGGCACAGGCATGAAAAGAGAGTCACACCACATATGTGCTGGCCTAAGTGATACATCATCATCCCCACTGTGGACAGGTCGCAGTAAGAACAGGAGAGTCACATCATTCTAATAATGGTCTCAGAGATACATCACAATGACTCCCCTGGGCAGAAACAAGGGATAAGGTTCACATCACCTGTGGGCTAGGCCCAGAGATGTCACTCTTACTTCTGTGGGCATGTCTCAGGCTGGAGAGGAGAATCACATTACCTAAGCACTGGACCAAGAAATACTTCACAATCTTTCTCATGGCGAAAGCCCAGGTAAGAGAATAGAGCCATATCAAATAGTTCATGGGCTCAGAGATATGTCACAATGCTCCCTGTGGGCAGGGTTCAGGTAGGACAATCACATTACCTTGGTGCTTGTTCAGCAATATATCCCAAAGCCTTCTGAGGGCAGAGCCAAGATAAAAGAGTAAAATCATTTTGGTGTTTTACAAATCGATATGTCACAATCTCCCCCGAGGGCAGAACCTGAAAAAAGGGAAGAGTCACATTAGCTAAATGCTGCGCCGGGTGATAAGTCACAATTCACCCTGTAGGCAGAGACTAGACAGAAGATAGAGTCACATCATCTAGTGGCTGGTGCAGAGATATGCCACCATGCCCTCTCTAGGCAGAGTTCAGACAGGAGAGTTATGTCACCTGTGTTTTGGACCCAGAAATATGTCACAAAAGCCCATGGACAGAGCACAGGAAAGACAGGCACATAACCTGAATATCAGCTTCAGTGGTATGACCCAATGCCTCCTGTGAGCGTTCCAAGGCAGGAGAGGAGACTCACATTACCTGTGTGCAAGGCCCAGTGATACGTCACACGGAGGAGTACCACTGTCTTGCATATTGTGTAAACTATGGTAGAGAAATTGTCACCACAGGGCTCGCCACACTGGTGAGATTATACTTCTCAGATGCACACCACACCAATATTCAGGATGGTCTCTATCACACGTGGAGAGAGCCCACTCTTGAGGTCCTGAATTACACATGCAGACACAGTCCACAACTGGGATTGTGACTTTCATATGTGAACATCCAGCCACAGGTGGGATGGTGACTCATTTTTAAACGCAGCTCATAGGCAGTTAAGAACTCTTATTTGGACCCATCCAAGTAGAAAGATGTTGACTGTCATACCAGGGCTTAAAGCTAAAGGTACAAGGAGGGGTCCGTGCCTGCTTAAGGTTTCAGAGAGAATTGTTACACTCATGCATACTCTATAAAGGCTGCATATGGTGAAGAGAGTGTCCTGACAGGGCCCAGAACAAAAGTAGATTGTGACACTCATATCTACGCTGAGCCAAGAGTAAAAATTGTCATCTTTTCACATGAACACAGCCCATTGTTGAGGTTCCAAATCTCACACCTGGAGGCGGTTGAGAGATGAATAATTGACTCTCATAAGTGGATGCGATCCATGTTTGAGTCAGTGACTCTAAAACCAACATTCAGCAAACACGTGAGGCTGTGACTCCATTAAGGGGCCACGGTCCTCGGGAAAGACTGAAGCTGCCATGCACAGATCCAGTGCACCATTGAGACTGTGACTTCTACACTTAGACCCAACAAACACAATGTGTTTGCTCTCACACCTAGATATGGGACATGTGCAGGATTGTCAGTCTCAGCCCTGGACTTTCCTGGAGGTATAACTGTGAAATATATCTCGGCCCAGCTCGTGAGTGACTTGACTCTTCTGCGTAGCCCAGCCCATGATAAAATTGTGACATTATTGAACCCAGCACCTATGACCCCCCTCTTCTGCCTGGGTCCTGTCAAAAAGAGAGATTGTAACAAATCACTGGGACAAGCACCCACATGATGTGACTCTCCTCTTTTCCCTGGGCCCTGCATATTTTGTATATTGTGACATACTGCTGGGCATAATACCTAGGGAATTGATGGCTACTGCCTGAGCCCTGTTCACAGGGGGCCTTGGGACATCTCTCTGCATTCACCACCTAAAAAAAGTGTGTGCACCCTGCCTACAAAGAAGATTGTAGCAGATCACTTGTCTTAGCAACCAAGTGATGCGAGTCTCCTGTCCTGCCTTGGTGCTGCTCACAGGGGACATTATAACATATACTTGGTGCTGCACCCATGTTTTGTAATTTTTCTGCCAGGGGTCTACCATATAAGCTATATTGCTGGGTCCAACACCCAGGTTATGCAGCTCTCCTTTCTGTGCTCTGCCTACAGGGGACATTGTGACTTATCTCTGCACCCATCACTCAGGTGATGTGACTTGCTTCTGCTGACTGATTCCTGTTCAAGTGGAGATTGTGACATATCAATGGTGGCACCATCTAGCTGATGTAACTATTCTCTTCTGCCTAGGTTCTTCCTGCAGTGGAAATTGTGATGTATCACTGGGCTTAACACCAAAGTGACATTAATTTTTTGCCTTGGTTCTTCCCTCAGAAGACATTGTAATATATTGCTGGGCTCAGCACCAAAACGATGTGGATTTCCTGTCTGGACCCTGCATACAGGAGTCCCTGTGACATATCTCTTGACTCATCAACTATTTGATGTGACTCTCCTCTGTTCCCTGAGCTTTGCCTATAGGAAAGCGTCAGCCTGGACTCCAGAGTCAGCCACCCACCCCTGCACAGACAAGGAGAGGTCTCATTAAGCTTCAGCACAGTCTGGGACCATAGCTTTTTTTGTAACGATTTGTTCGGCATGAGGCCCACTCACAAGGGCCCTTCGTGACTGGACTCAAGGAAAACGAAAAGGCCTACTTGTTTTTGCGATTTTCTGTTGTTTTTCAATAACTATTTCTCAGAAACAGTGCTGGATGAATTCCACAAGGGGTTCACACAACCTGTTCCAGGACTTAGTGACCATTGTTTCTGTCCATGTTCATTGAGTTCAAATTTAATATTTAACTTTTCCTCCTCATTCAGCCTCAATTTGACACTGAATCATAGGAAAATATTTTTACAGTTATACGGGGAAGTCACAACTGGTATAGATTACAGATAGAGCAGAGGAGAATTAAAAGCACAATTAATAGAAACCACACCCACCACGGCCAACGCCAATGCTAGTTTGACAGCCAGTCCATGATGGGGTCCTGATGGTTAGATTCTAACTGTTTTACTTGTCCTTGCATGTCTTCGGCAAGGAGAGTAATACTGCGAGAACTGTCAGGGATACACACAACATTCAGAATGCAGCAAGACTCAAACCCCTCCTTGGGCTGCGGTAAACATACCTAATGCCATTCGATTTTGCAACACAACAGTACACAGCTGAACAAGTTCTTCTGATAACAACAGAAGTCCAGTGCTACTATCTTAGGAGCTTTTACTATATGTGGACTTAATATTTTAATTTGTTGCTGAAGCAGGATTGTACGAGGGGCAAGGGAGAATACTGTGATAGTTTTCCACCACCAGGGAGTCTGGCACGTTCATAACCAGCTACCTTTGTAAGCATCTAGATTATTGGGGAAGGGAATATTATCCCGGATGGTGAATGGAATTAATGGCACCCCCAAGTGAATCTCCCCATCCAATAAGGGGGCAGATAGGCCACCCATAGGGTCTGCATACCCAGAGGGCCCCCCAGGGGACAGCAATGGTTATACTACAATTATAGTGTATTAAGATGTTATTAAAGTAGCAAAGGAAGTCCAGGTTGGATTGCAAGTGTTGTTGTTTTGGCCCCATTTGTAGTGACAGAGCCATTCAGAAATATTGGCAAGGACAACTCTGCAAGGCAGTCCATTTCCTGTGGCCTCTGGCAATTTGATGCATAGCCAGCATTGACTGCGGTTAGCTTCTGTCGCAGTGGTTGCTGCCCAGTTGATGAATTCACTCTCCACCTCAGACCTGATGACCCAGGTACTGATTACTAGTAGACAGGTTATTCTCTGTAACAACAAAACTGAAGGGGAACATAATATTGTTTTTCATTTTTAGGAAACTGTACTACCCTTTTATTTTCTGCTCCCATACCTACAAGGTCACAGCCTTAGGGGCGGGATCTGATGGAGGCTGTATCCATATTTTCGTTCCAGGATTTAAGCTACCTATACCAGTGGATCTTAATTTCCCAGTTCTGTACGTAGCCTCTGTTGGGGCAGAGATTTCCTCAGGGGTTAATTGTTAACAAGGTACCAGGTACCACTGACAATTGAGCAACCCGAATCTGCGGTCTTGTAACAAAAGAATGTGGAGTGGTATTGTGTAAAGTGAACTTTAACTGTTCCTGGTAATCATTATCAATTATACCACCATACATTATAATGTGTCTCATCGCCAGGCTTGAATGTGTTGTAATCCATTCACCCACATTCAAGTTTGCATTTATGCTGGAAATTTTGGCCTGTTGATCTACCTGCTGTTTAGTCTGTCAAGAGAATGCAGAGATGCATGAGAATCAATATGAAAAACAGCAATAATAGTAATGTGCATCAGGATTCAGGTATCTTCCTAGTATTGTTTTCTCCAAACCTCTTTATTCATTATTCACTATTTGTTTCATTGCCATTCGGGCAACTAGGTAGTAAGACCATTTTCTGCTGACCAACAGTCGGTATACAAGCAACAAATTGCTCTGGCCTCCTCCTGAATAGTTCGGAGGATGGCTTCTAGTTCAGCCAGCTGGCTGCTCACACCCCTCCCTTCATCAGAAACGCTTATGTTTTTAACAGGATTATAAGCCACGGCCTCCCAGCATCAGGTCCCATCAATGTATTTGGTGGAACTATCAGTAACCAAGCGTGTTTCTGATCCTCTGGGCTTAGTTCTTTAAAGGATTTGCCCCATTGGGCAGGGGAGGTTTCCTTCCCTATATGCAGGACTTGCCCTGTGGTTTCCTGAGTTGGCAAGTTTTGCACATCTTCAAGTAAAAATGATACCGCTTTTAGTTCTGGCTTATCCTGGTCTTGTATGTACCATTTCCATTTTATGATACTACATTCTTGAGTGTACCCTATCCAATGGGTTTTGAGGGAGCTCATGACCCAAGTCATAATAGGAATTTGGGGCCTCATAAAAACATCATGATTAAAACAAAGGTGTTCTGCTTCCTTCAAGCGCAGTAGAAGGCCAACAGCTGCTTCTCAAAGAGTATAAGCTTTGCCAGCCTCTGGCAGCTTCTGGGTCTAAAACTCCAAAGGTATCTTCTTCCCATCTTGTTTCTACCTAAGGCTCCAATTAGCATGTTGATGTAGGACAGTTACTTGCAGTTCTGTTGACTCATCCTATAAGGGCCATAGATCCAGGGCCAGTTGCTCAGCTTGTTTTGCTTGTTGAAAAGCCAGGCTGTCTTTCTCTCTCCAGTGATATTCATAGTGTTTTCTAGTGACTGCATGCAGAGGTTGTAATATGTTACCCAAGTGGGGAATATGATGTCTCCAGAATCCAAACAAGCCAATACAATTTTGGACCTCCTTTTCAGTGGTAGGGCTGCAAATTCTAGTATTTTAGCGTTAGCCTTTGGTAAAATGGACTGTTTCCCTGCAGTCCATAGGATGCCAAGGAACTTTACACTTTGTGCAGGCCATTGAATTTTATTAGAGTTAACTTCCCATCCTTGAGATAGGATTTGGGTTTTTACCCTCTTCTGCCCTGAAAACTGACTAGTTATTCAGTTTTACCCTGACTGGGCAACTCGGACAGCTGCTTTTTCAGCAATAGGCTGATAGCTTTGAGCCTGATCAGTCAAGACAGGCCTGGCATGGTACCAGGGTCAGTCTGGAAGTCAGATTAAAATTTTCCTTTTCCAGCTTACATTTCTCTTGTAACAACCAGTCCCTACATTGACACTTTAACTTATAAGAAGTAAGCAAGCATCATCAATGCTGGGAAATTCCCTCAGCATTACAATTACCAACTGGGACTCCCTGCTGCACCTCACGCACAGCCAGTGATTCAAACAAACTTTATCCCACTTAAATGGCAATGCAGATATAATAAGCAAATATATAAGCAAGTTGCAATGGGACGGGGAGAAGGGAAAAGATATATATATATATTTAAACTCACCAAACTATGGAGGATTCACCACAAGACTGTGAAGCAACAGCCTGGGCTCCAGATTGGCCACTCATCCGTCCACAGACAACGTGAGATCTCATGAAGCTTTGGCGCAGTCTGGAACCCCAGCTCTTTTTGTAATGAGTTATTTGGCATGAAGTCCGGTCAGGAAGGCTATTCACAACGGGGCTCAAGGAACACAAAAAGGTCAACTTGTTTTTTTGATTGTCTATTGTTTTTCAATAACTAAGATATAGGAATAAATTGAAATAGAGATTTATCTGAAACAGCGCTGGATGAGGGCTTCAAGGGGCTCACACAACCTGTTCCGGGACTTGGTGACCATTGTTTGAGTCCATGTCCAATTTAGTTCAAATTTAATATTTACCTTTTACTCCAAAAAGTGTCAAAAGTAATTCCTTCAAATGCAGGAAATTATGTAGCTACTCACAAACTAAACTTCTCAAACAAAAGTCATAAATAGAGTACAGAGATAAAAAATAAAATAAAATCTAACTACATCTGTCTACAGGGGATTCAATTTATTTATTTATTTATTTATTTTAGAGACATGGTATTGCTTTGTTTCCCAGGCTGGTCTCAAACTTCTGGGCTCAAGTTAACCTCCCACCTCAATCTCCTAAAATGCTCGGATGACAGATATGAGCCATCTTACTATATAGTAACAAAAACAGACTAAAAGTGGCAAGATGCATCAAAACAATTTTATGCAAATCGTAATGAAATGAAGACAACGTCACGAGCACATTATGCAAAATACTTTTTAAATAACTGTCTTAGTTTATAAAATAAATTATAAGTTAAAACTGTCAAAGAAAACAAAGGACAAAATAATAAAAAAGTTTATTCACTGGAAACCTAGGAAAATTATATACATTTATATAATATACATTTATATAATTGTGTGTATTTATCTAATTATGTATACAGACACACATATATATGAACCTCACATGAAGATTTTAAAATAAATCAATAATATTTTGTCAGAACATAAACAAAAAACTGCAATATACTGAGAACAATATTTTAATACACCAGTTCTGTAATTAATAATAAAGCCAGAGAGAATGTTAAGAAGAAAACAGAGGACATGAAAATACTGTAAAACAGTTAGATGTAACAGATGCATAGAGATCACTCTACACAACAACAAAACTCACAGTCTTGTCAAAAGCTCATAAAACATTGTCCTAAAAATAAATATAAGGAAAAAAATTTTTTAACAGAATTAAAAAAAATTGAATGTTACAGAAAACACTTCAAAAAATCAATCAACCCAGGAGCCGGTTTTTTGAAAAGATTAACAAAATAGATAGACCACTAGTAAGACAAATAAAGGAGAAAAGAGAGAAGAATCAAAGAGACGCAATAAAAAACGACAAAGGGGATATCACCACGAAACCCACAGAAATACAAACTACCATCAGAGAATACTATAAACACCTCTACGGAAATAAAGTGGAAAACCTAGAAGAAATTGATAAATTCCTGGAAACATCCACACCTCCAAGACTAAACGAGGAAGAAGTTGAATCTCTGAGTAGACCAATAGCAGGTTCTGAAATTGAGGCAATAATTAATAGCTTATGAACCAAAAAAAGTCCATGACCAGACGAATTCACAACGGAATTCTACCAGAGGTACAAAGAGGAGCTGCTACCATCCCTTCTGAAACTATTCGAATCAAGAGAAAAAGAGGGAATCTTCCTTAACTCATTTTATGAGGTCAGCATCATCCTGATACCAAAGCCTGGCAGAAGCACAACAAAAAAACAATATCCCTGATGAACATCAATGCAAACATCCTCAATAAAATGCTGACAAACCAAATCCAGCAGCACATCCAAAAGCTTACCCACCACGATCAATTCAGCTTCATCCCTGGGATGCAAGCCTGGTTCAACATATGCAAATCAATAAACATAATTCATCACATAAACAGAACCAATGACAAAAATCTCATGACTATCTCAATAGATGCAGAAAAGGCCTTCAACAAAACTCAACAGCCTTTCATGATAAAAACTCTAAATAAACTAGGTATTGATGGAACACATCTGAAAATAATAAGAGCTATTTATGACAAACCCACAGCCAATATCATGCAGAATGGGCAAAACCTGGAAGCATTCCCTTTGAAAACCAGCACAAGACAACGATGCCCTCTCTCACCACTCCCACTCAACATAGTATTGGAAGTTCTGGCCAGGGCCATCAGGCAAGAGAAAGAAATAAAGGACATTCGATTAGGAAAAAGAGGAAGCCAAATTGTCTCTGTTTGCAGATGACATGATTGTATATTTAGAAAACCCCATTGTCTCAGCCCAAAATCTCCTTAAATCTGATAAGCAACTTCAGCAAAGTCTCAGGATACAAAATAATGTGCAAAAATCACAAGTATTTCCATACACCAATAACAGATGAACAGAGAGCCAAATTATGAGTGAACTCCCACTCAACAATTGCTACAAAGAGAATAAAATACCTAGGAATCCAACTTACAAGGGATGTGAAGGACATTTTCAAGGAGAACTACAAACCACTGCTCCATGAAATAAAAGCGGACACAAACAAATGGAAGAACATTCCATGCTCCTGGAAAGGAAGAATCAATATCATGAAAATGACCATGCTGCCCAAGATAACTTACAGATTCAATGCTATCCCCATCAAGCTACCACTGACTTTCTTCACAGAATTGGAAAAAACTACTTTGAAGTTCACATGGAACCAAAAAACAGCCTGCATAGGCAAGAAAATCCTACACAAAAAGAGAAAAGCTGCAGGTATCACACTACCTGACTTCAATCTATACTACAGGTCTACAGTAACAAAAACAGCATGGTACTGGTACCAAAACAGATATATAGAGCAATGGAAAAAAACAGAGGCCTCAGAAATACCATCACACATCTACAACCATTGGATC